>NT_187578.1:219541-439082 GCF_000001405.40 Homo sapiens | reverse complement strand
TTCTTTTTGCTTAGGATTGTCTTGACTATATGGGCTCTTTTTTGGTTCCATATGAAATTTAAAGTAGTTTTTTCTAGTTCTGTGAATAGTATTGAATTTATAAATTACTTTGGGCAGTATGGCCATTTTCACAGTATCACTTCTTCCTATCAATGAGCATGGAATTATTTTTCCATTTGTTTATGTCCTCTCTTATTTCCTTGAGCAGTGGTTTGTAGTTCTCCTTGAAGAGGTCCTTCACTTCCCTTGTAAGCTGTATTCCTATGTATTTTATTCTCTTTGTAGCAGTTGTGATTGGGAGTTCACTCACGTTTTGGCTCTCTGCTTGTCTAATATTGGTATAGTAATGCTTGTGATTTTTGCACATTGATTTTGTATCCTGAGACTTTGCTGAAGTTGCTTATCAGCTTAAGGAGTTTTTAGACTGAGATGATGGGGTTCTCTAAATATAGAATCATGTCATCTGCAAACAGAGACAATTTGTCTTCCTCTCTTCCTATTTGAATACCCCTTATTTCTTTCTCTTGCCTTATTGCCCTGGCTAGAACTTCCAATACTTTGTTGAATAGGAGAGGTGAGAGAGGACATCCTTGTCTTGTGCTGGTTTTCAAAGGGAATGCTTCCAGGTTTGCCCATTCATTATGATATTGGCTATGGGTTTGTCATAAATAGCTCTTATTATTTTGAGATATGTTCCATCAATATCTAGTTTACTGAGAGTTTTTAGCATGAAGGGGTGTTGTAAACATTTTAGCTTTTATAATCCTATCAATCCTTATATTTTATGCTCTAGTCTCAGGAACTTCTGTACTCCACCCCCAGACCATTTTACCCTCTCTTGTGAAAAAACCTCTGGGTTCCCAGCAAGGAGTTGAGCCAAGGGATGTGGGCCTTTTTGTCAATCTTTATCTGATTAGTCTGTCTCCACATTGCCCCAGGAAATTATTAATCAGCTTTCTCATTGTAATTTTTGCCTTCTGATTTTTGAAACTTCCCCAATCTGGTGTAAATATAGAAAACTGATTTGGGGCTCTTTAATGTTGGGGAACCAGCAGGGACTCCCTTTGGTCCACCCAACATTTGATAGTGTTGTATTAAGACTCAAAAGGTAAACAAAAATTTTATTATCTCTCATTAATACTATCCAAAAATCTTGTTCAAAAGAGAAAACTAAATTTTGCTTTGTATTAGAGTATTATCAATAGTAAAGCTAATTTTAATAAAATTTTATGAATGATTTCATTGACTCTCACTCAGCTTTTGACCACACAAGAATTCCATAAAGCTTTTCTCTATCCAAAGGAATATAAATAAATCACTCTACCATAAAGACACATGCATATGAAAGTTCATTGCAGCACTATTCACAATAGCTTTTCACAGTTTCAAAGACATGGAATCTACCTAATGCCCATTAATGCCCTCTTACAAAATTGCTTTCTATGTTTCTCTTTCTCTAACTTTTAGATCTATTTATTTGTATCTATATCATTTCTTCCATTCATTTTGAAACAATCTTTAAAATACCACTAAACCGGGCCAGCATGCCTACATGCTCCTAGTCTTTGTGCACGAGTGGGAGGTGGCAGGCCTCCAACAATGCAGCTAGTCTTTGTGCGTGAGTGGGAGGTGGCAGGCCTCCAACTGTGGCCTTCTCTGCTGACTGTTCTAGTGAGGCATCCCCAGCCATGAACCATTTTGGTACCTGGTTGGTGGGAGGCAGGGTGACCCCATTGCTGCCACTGAAAGCCCGCAACAATGAAAATCTCAACAAAATTGGTATGTCTTTGGATGATATCATCAAACTAAATTGACAGGGAGGAAAGAAGCATAATTTTCTAACTGGAGCCTGGCAATTCAGGATGAGCATATGATGGAGAATTCAACAGAATTCTGGCTTTGGTAAGACTAGTCTGAGCACAGAGGATGAGTAATGCCTGGAAAGAGACAGCTTTATGGAGTTATCACTGGCCTTGCATCTAGGAAAGCAACTGGAATTCACAAAGAAATTAATCCTATGAATCATCCGTCTCTAGGTGACAGGAATATAGAACGATATTTTCTAGTGTTAAAAAGGAAGGCAAACCTTCTGGGACAAATATGAAGTGCAGAAAAAAACCAGTTGCAGTTCTCAAGGGACCTAACCAGCTAAACAGAAAAAAAAAACATTCCAGCCAATTTTACCAAGAATGGAAATAAATTAAGCCATCAGAAACACATGCGTCAGGCAACTTTTCATTTCAGAAGAGACGTGAAGGTTCAGACCCAGTTGAACACAACAGCAACTGCTGGATAACGTAGTCGGAAAGAGAACTCATCAATGGCAGATTTTTGTTGCAGGACTTCTTTTTAGTTCAGCTAAAGATGTGGTCCTTGTCCCACGGCCACAAAAATTTAGGCTCACAATTTGCGGAGTGAGAAAAATGGAACTTATTGGGCAAAAAGGAGAAAAGGGGGAACAGTTACTTTCGGCAAAGCCGGAATCGCAGCTAGTGCGCTCCCTGCCTCGCCATTTGAATCCAAGGTTCCACACAGGAAGAGGAGGGGCCAGGCTCCTCCCTACTGCAAATAGCAGAAACTTCGGTGGCACCCCAGTGTGCATTCCTCCCAGTTCGCCCGCGGTTGGAGTTTTTCCATGGACTCCTTCCCACTGGCTGTCTCACTTTCACCACAAACGGAGGAATTTTGACTCTATCTTTGGACAATCCTGGAGCAGTGCAATGCCTAACACAGAAATCAGGATTAATTCATACTGCTGTATCTTCATTTTTAACAAAATGGAAGCAATCTGACATAACGAAAGTTCCTAAAGTGGAACCCTACAATTGACATAAATTGTGCTGGAAAACAGACAGAGATGACTTTGAATGAGAAGTTTAGGATCCTGAAGGAACAAAGAGCCACTCTGACAAACAACAAAGGAGGAAGCTGCTTTGTAACTGTATTAGTCTGTTCACACACTGCTAATAAAGACATACCTGAGAGTAGGTAATTTATAAAGGAAAGAGGTTTAATGGACTCAAAGTTTCACATGGCTGGAGAGGCCTCACAATCATAGCAGAAGACAAAGGAGAAGCAAAGTCATGTCTTACATGGTGTCAGGCAAAAGAGCTTGTGCAGGGAACTCCCATGTATAAAACCATCAGTTCTTGTGAGACTTATTCACTACCATGAGAACAGTATGGGGGGGAACAACTCCCGTGATTCATTTATTTCCACCTGGCCCTGCCCTTAACATGTGGGGATTATTACAATTCAAGGTTAAGATTTGGTTGGGAACACAGCCAAACCATATCAGTAATCATGGGATAGATCCCATATCAAAGGGAATTTTGAGTGATGACGCTGAAAAATTGAATTGCTTGAAGAGTTCATCACAGAAATTCAAGAAACTATGCTTCAAAACATTCACAAGGCTAACTCATTTTTATTTCTGAAGGTTTTTTTTTTTAAATAAAGCAGGTATGATATAATGCCCTGAGACAATAACAGGGAATATACCTGTTCTTAAAGATTTCATTGTTGGCTCAGACAGAACAATTATCTATTTGACTTCTTTGGTTCCTCTTATAGCAGAAGGAAGATAGAAATATAGAAACTGATTATTTTTATGATAGTGGTATTTAGGATCTCATTGCCTTTGCCCATTTTTTTAGATTTTATCATGACAAATCTTGGCCTTCTGAAATATGGGTAGGTCCCTTTGTTGCTATCAGTTATCCTTTAATAGTGTTGATGCAGTAAATACAGTTGCCTTGTCTTCATGAGAGATATTTTTAAAAATATTGGAATTCTAGTTTGGAGTTTCAAGATTTATGAAAATATCTGAAACTTGGTTCACTTTTCAGGTACATTTTAGGCTAATACCCCAGAATTATGAATTTTTAGTGCTGAACTTAGAAATGTGGCTCTAGGCATTAGTCTCAGCTTAAAATGTTGGTGCTTAAAGACTGAAGATGCATATTTACAAAGTTAATCTGATAGGGCCTTGGAGGAGAGGGTCCAGTTTAAGAATCTGACAGTTTGTATTTAGTGAATGAAAGCATGAGAGCAAGTAGCAAGTTGAAAGACAGGTAACTGAGATGAGAAACTTCAAAACTTAGGTCATGTGTACTGTTTGGATTTAGTGTAGTCTTGAGTCTAGTGTCCACAAATAATTCTTCAAATGATATTTAGAAGAATTATAATTATTTAAATGGAGTCCTTCAGACATTTTGATAGTAAAATTAATAGGCGTAAAGTCCTAAACTTTATTTGAAAAGTTACTTCTCATTTGAAAAGTTAAAATTTATGAGCTTTGAAGCTTGCTAAATTAATTTATAGCTCCAAAACCAAAAATATACTTGTATATGTCACAAATAACAGAAGCAAAATATATAATAGAATTACATTGTACCTTGTTGTTTACCTTTCACTGATTTCTTGTATGGTATAAAGCTCAGTATTGATGGGGAGAAAAGGGCTTCGCCCCTACCCCCGAGACCTTTGATGGGTGGGAGGAGTTAGTCTGTTTGCCAAGATAGTGCTGAGTCCTCAGATGTTGAACACTATAAATTATAGTATAATGACAAATTCAGCAAAATGTTCCAGCTATAAGTTACAGGTTTAGTCATTTTGAAGCTTGACGTTTTAGTTTGCTATAATGTTAAAAACATCCAAGTAGGTGATAGTTTCTCTGGAGTATATTATTAGTGTTGACTTTTCCTATAAAACAAAACATCGTTATCGTTCAGCCTGCCTTGCATTTTATACTAGACTTCATTCTTGTCTCTCATGCTTCTTGGGTTACTTAATGGTTTATGCTAGCCCTGAAAGCTATCAGTAAAAATTTCATGCTTATATCAAAGAATTAAATCTGATCCTTTAATATCTGATATTTTGCCAGTACTTCTAGTGATAAGGGATTTTTGGAAGTCAGTCACAGAATTTAAAAATAAATTCTAGTCTTTCCTCAGCTATTTGATACTCATCCCTGTTCCTGCAAAAGACATGATCACATTATTTTTTATGGCTATGGGGACAAATAGGCCAAGTACTCATTGCCAAGCATTTTTGTAAGTATGCATGCTTATATTTGGTCCAGAAACAATGCATTCTAGATTGGTTTAGAATTACTGGTAGCTTATTTTACAGCAAGGAAAAGCAGCTGAGCAAGAATTTGCTGTCTTTAGAACAGTTTGTGAAATATGATATAAGGGTGTTTTCATTTCCTATTCCCTATTCTCTCTCTACTCTGCTCCTCTGACCCCATTCATTGAAAGGCAGCTGCCTTATTTTACATGAAGGTGTGCAATGCCTCAGATTTCTTTCAGCTTGCACCCCTGATCTCGGTCTGAGCACATGGTGAAGCTCTACGGAAAGTTGGCAGATAGAGAAAGACTTACTCTGTGGCTACAGTTTCTTGGAATTCTAGTTTATCAAACCAATCCACACATATCCATTAAAAGTACATTAAATTTTCTGTTGATTTCTCCTTATTTTTTTCTGTTGGGTTTATTTTTTGCTGCTTTATCATAATTGTAAATCAGCATGTAGGAGAGAAAACTTTCTGTTTCCTATGGAGCAGCTTGTCACTTGCTGGAGTTCAATTCATGTAGATTCTTTGCATTCTCAGTAATCTAATGAGTTACAAACAAAACAAAAATAAAGACCAAAAAAAAAAAAAAAACCAACAACCCCAAAACTAATTTTGTAGTTTATGCAGATAGTTGTGTTTGTTAGAGAGAGAACAGTGGTAACTCTTGTGGCTTTCTTCACACTAATCAAAAGGAGATGGGCATTTCTTAATTTTTAAAAGGTTACAAAAAGCTCAGCAAGACTTTTATGTACCTGAATGGCCTGTCAGCTTCTAGTTTTGCTTTCCTTTGGGTAAATCCTAAGTACAAAGCTATGGATGTTTTTTCTCTAAAGAGCAATACACACACCACCCCTTTTGTTCTTTCCAAAGATTTTATTCTCATTCTTTTGAGAAGATCCTTCTGGGTTTTTTTTTTTTTTAACTTTCATTTTAGGATCGGGGGTATATGTGCAGGATTGTTACATAGGTATATTGTGTGATGATGCTGAGGTGAACCTGTCACCCTGATATTAAGTACCCAATAGGTAGTTTTTCAGCCCTTGCCCCCATCCCTCTCTCTGTCCTCTTGCAGTCCCCAGTGTCTTCTGTTCCCAATGTCCGTGTGTACCCAATGTTTAGCTCCCACTTATAATTGAGAACATGAGGTATTTGGTTATCTGTTTCTTCATTAGTTCACTTAGGGAAATGGCCTTTAGCTGCATCCATGTTGCTGCAAAGGACATGGTTTCATTTTTTCATGGCTGTATAGTATTCCTATTCCATGATCCCTCTATTTTTTTATGTTCTGTTGCAGGTAAACTCTTGGATGCAAGGCATTCTGTTTCCAGGACTTGAGGAAGGGATTAGCGTGAAGTCAAATGTCTCATATATATATAAACGTTCAATAAATAACCATATTTTCAAACCCACATCTTATTTTTATCCTCCATTGTACCTGATTTCTTTTAAAGGTTCTGTATAACAGATTGTGTTATCTTCCTAGATGTATTGATACCATTCATGCATATTTTGGCTGCTGCTTCTTTAACAGTGGTTCATTATTGTTATAAAATTTGTCAGCTTGCTTACTGTCTTCTGGAAATTCATTGAAAGCTCTCAGGTGTCTTGTACTAGAAGACTATATCAGGAAGTTTCTAAAGAACTAGAGGGTTAGAACTGACTCCTAAGTGGTCTGACTGCTGATTCAATTCACCTTTCATCAACCCTTATCTCTACTTTATTTTACTGCTCCTCTTTCTTTCTTTTTTGAGGTTTTGAGGTTTTGCTGAAGATATTCCTGAAGAATCATCCCAGGTGCCACACTAAAAAAATGATCCAGTTGACAGCTACCCCTGTGAGTGCACTTGTTGATGAGCCAGTGCATATCCGAGCTACAGGCCTGATTCCCTTTCAGATGGTGAGTTTTCAGGCATCACTGGAAGATGAAAACGGAGACATGTTTTATTCTCAAGCCCACTATAGGGCCAATGAATTCGGTGAGGTGGACCTGAATCATGCTTCTTCACTTGGAGGGGATTATATGGGAGTCCACCCCATGGGTCTCTTCTGGTCTCTGAAACCTGAAAAGCTATTAACAAGACTGTTGAAAAGAGATGTGATGAATAGGCCTTTCCAGGTCCAAGTAAAACTTTATGACTTAGAGTTAATAGTGAACAATAAAGTTGCCAGTGCTCCAAAGGCCAGCCTGACTTTGGAGAGGTGGTATGTGGCACCTGGTGTCACACGAATTAAGGTTCGAGAAGGCCGCCTTCGAGGAGCTCTCTTTCTCCCTCCAGGTGAGTAGAATTACTCTGCTTATTGTTATTCTTGTTTTTCCACTTTAAATACATTATCCGTCTAGAAATTTAGCTTGAATAGCTTGTAGAATTACTCTGGTTATTGTTATTATTGTTTTTCCACCTTAAATGCATTATCCCTCCAGAAATTTAACTTGAATATGGATAATACCTAGAGCACTGCTTCCTGCCTTACAATCAATGTTAACCTTGGGTCTGAACAAGAATGTGGTAATATTCTACTCCAGCTCAAGTTTCATCTCAACAATTCTGAAGCTTGTCTAAGAATGTGACTACATATAGTTTATGTAGTCCCTACATTATGGGCTTTACATAGCTTTGGATTTATGCTAAATTTTTCTGCACTGAAGCCAAGATGGGAGGATTAATAGAGGCCAACAGTTCAAGACCAGCCTGGGCAACATAGCCAAACTCTTTCTCTATAAATACTAAAAAATTAGCTGGGTGTGGTAGCAGGCACCTGTAGTCCCAGCTACTCAGCAGGGGCTGAGGAGGAAAGATCTCTTGAGCCTCGGAGATTGAGGCTGCAGTGAGCCATGTTCCTGATACTGCACTCCAGCCTGGGTGACAAAGCAAAAAAAAAAAAAAAAAAAAAAAGGATAATGCATGCAAAATGCTTATCATAGAACCTGGCAATACTAAGCACTCAAAGATGAACAAATGTTAGACAAAACTTTCTATGATCTGACTTCTGCATACTTCTTCAGCCTTATCTTATAGCTCTAATCTTATAGCTATATGAAGACCCTCATCTTGATGTGATGGAAACCATATCCCAGATCCTTGTACAGGCTCTGTCAGGTTGAGTTTCAGTTTAGGCATGGGTTATTACCTTGTTGCCACAACAAGCTGGAGATAAGATGGACTGAAAGATTGCAGCAAATATAGAGGATGCAAGAAACTTTGTAACCTCTAGCTTCATAAATATTACATATTTATAGACTATTCCATGAATCTAATAATATAGCATGCTTCCTAATGGCTATAAAACTTATCAGAACGCTCATAGTTTCCCACAGAAATCTCCAAATACCAATAAATAAGTGGTTTAAACATGTTTTGGTACATTTCTCAGAGTTTATTGTGGGGCCAAATAAAGCAAAGTTAATTTCTCAGAAGAAAAAAAAGCAATAAAAGCTTTCCTTTCCAAATTCACCATAACCCATGTACTTGTTCGGATAAATTTGAGTTTTTAAAATACCCAGTAAATAGCATATAGACCACTTTATTATGTATAGGGACCAAGAATTAAATGGCACAAATTGCTGTGCCTCTATTATCCCACCCCAGTTAAAAATCTGCTTATTGGTACAGGCCTTCCATCTTGGGATGATGTGCTGGTTTAGGGTGTGCTGTTTGTGAATCCTCTTGAACACTGCATGTGCTGGGTCTCCCGCTTCAAGTGTGTTTTCTATCGGGGGAACAAAAGAGAGCTGAGTTGTGTGAGGTTATAAGGAGGTTGAGTCAGATCACAAATATTTCATGACTGTAACATTCTTCCAAGATAAAAGACTCAGTACTTTTAAGTGTTCCCCCATTCTTGTCAATCAGATGGTAAAAACATCCTTATTCATTTATGCAAATGATAATTTAAAACTAAGATATATTCAACTTCACTTTATTTATTATTTATTCATTGTACTTAATTATAGTAATTTTTAAAAATTCCCAATACTCCTTTAAATCAAGCCACTTCTTTCAAATATGGATGGGATCACTCTGTCTTAGTTAAAACCACTTATAAAAGAATAGAATATCCCTAATAAGTGCATCGTAAGTTTCTTTCAGTGTGTGGGCTCTGCTTTATTTTGGAAAAAAGCTGCCTATACAGAGTGACTGTAGAATGATACTCTGGCCGTCCCTACTTTTTACCACGTGTCAGCCTGCAAAAAATGAACATGGCGTTATTGAATAAAGGGGCTCATCATTTACATAAGCTTAGGTGTAAGGTTTCATCACTGTATAGTCAAATGAATGTAGCAGAGCAGTGTTAAGTCAGGATTTTAGCTAATACAATCATTTAAAAAATGTTTTTGAATCATGTATTTCTTTGAGAACCAAATTAAATCTGTGGAACCTCTCATAAGTAAAATTCACCTACAAATATATATATACCATATTTTGCATATATTGTAATTTCAGGATCTTCACAGATTTCCTAAAGCTTATTTGTATACTTCTTTATAGGTTAAGAAGCCCTGGCCTAATTTATATGCCTTTCTTTACAACAAGAGTATAGAAACTACTGTGAATTCCCATTTCCTCAGCTGCAGAGAGTAAATATGTCTCTGAATGTAGTTCCTAGTCAAACGTCTAGATATTGTGTTCCATTATATATTCAATGGACCTTAATTCTGCCCCAGGTAGAAGGCTGAAAGTGTTGGAATTGTATTTGAATATTTAAATGTTAATTTCAAAATTACATTTGAATGTAATTTTGCATTTCTGCTTTGTGTTCTCATGTTTTTATTATCTTTTATTTATTTATTTTATCTTTTATTATCTAATCATTTGTATTTCTGCTTTGTATTTTCAAGTTTTCTTATCTTTTCCACACCTTCTCTTCATGTACAATTCTGTTTTGTTATTTTTCAGGAGAGGGTCTCTTCCCAGGGGTAATTGATTTGTTTGGTGGTTTGGGTGGGCTGCTTGAATTTCGGGCCAGCCTCCTAGCCAGTCGTGGCTTCGCCTCCTTGGCCTTGGCTTACCATAACTATGAAGACCTGCCCCGCAAACCAGAAGTAACAGATTTGGAATATTTTGAGGAGGCTGCCAACTTTCTCCTGAGACATCCAAAGGTAATTTTTGTCTTTTCAGTAGGTTTGAGTCCCTGGGGTTTTTTTGTTTCTGTTTTTGTTTTTGTTAAAAGACAGGGTCTTGCTCCGTCACCCAGGCTGGAGTGCAGTGGCATGATCTGACACTTGGCCAGAAGCCAGTGCCTTTTGATACTACAATGTGCACAGGCTAACTTCCTATGCATTTTGTCTTTCTGAGCAAAAGACACTGGATGAGAAATAAATCATGTGAATTATAAATAACATGGGCATGAATAGAATTTCAAGTTCACTGAGAATCGTACTTGGAAGTTAAGAGAAGTCATAGGATATTATGGTTATTTTTTAAAAAGGGACTGGCTGGGTGTGATGGCTCAAGCCTGTAATTCTAGCACTCTGGGAGGCCAAGATGGGAGGATTAATAGAGGCCGACAGTTCAAGACCAGCCTGGGCAACATAGCCAAACTCTTTCTCTATAAATACTAAAAAAATAGCTGGGTGTGGTAGCAGGCACCTGTAGTCCCACTTACTTAGCAGGGGCTGAGGAGGAAAGATCGCTTGAGCCTGGGAGGTTGAGACTGCGGTGAGCCATGTTCCTGCCACTGTACTCCAGCCTGGGTGACAAAGCAAAAAAAAAAAAAGGATAATGCATGCAAAATGCTTATCATAGAACCTGGCAATACTAAGCACTCAAAGATGAACAAATGTTAGACAAAACTTTCTGTGATCTGACTTCTACATACTGCTTCAGCCTTATCTTATAGCTCTAATTATTAACTAGCTATCATTTTTCTCATCACTATACTTAACTGGACAGATAATCTGTATTTCTTTGAAGAATGAGTCTGAATTTTTAGTTACTCATGAGCCCTTAAACATAATACTATTAGTGCTTTCCAATCCATATGCCTTTTAAAATTTTAAAACATGTGCTTTGCTACTATGATATGGGATAGAGTTGGAGTTTATTAAACCTTGTTAATTGCCCAATATTTTTTCTTTCCTTTCCTTTTTTTTTTTTTTTTTTCTTTTTTTGACAGAGTCTCGCTCTGTCACCTAGGCTAGAGGCAGTGGCACAATCTCAGCTCACTGCAACCTCCACCTCCCAGGTTCAAGCAATTTTCCTACCTTAGCCTCCTGAGTAGCTGGGACTATAGGCGCGTGCCACCATACCTGGCTAATTTTTGTATTTTTAGTAGAGACGGGGTTTTGCCATATTGGGAAAGCTGGTCTCCAACTCCTGACCTCAAGTGATCCACCTGCCTTGGCCTCTATTTTTTTTTTTAATAAGAATTGAAATAAAATTAAATCTCCATACTACATGTTTTTTTATATAAGGATCACCAAAATATAATCAGGTTTGCAGAAATAAGATAAGCAACAATTACTGACAATCTACTGATGTAGTGAACATTTTAAATGGCTATTTTTGATGCATATAATGGAACTGCCCTCGAAATGTCAGTCAATATTATCATTGTGAGCCTTCTTCTTGGCTTAGATGAGAAGTGGAGAGGTTATGTGATTCTCTTTTTTCACGGTCTTTGCCTCGTTCCCCTTATATTTGCTGCATGACTTTTTCATCACTGTTCTTGCCAGTGTCACATAGATAGCTAGTTAATGATTAATCCAGGCCTGGAAACCAGATTTTTTTCCCCAGACTCTGAGAAATTCCATTAAACCTACTTCACATTGTCTCTTCTGCAGGATGATAGAACAGAGATCTTTCTTGCAGGTCTTATTTCTCTATGTGTTGATTTTAAGTAACTTCTAAGAACTCATAATTTCCTGATCCCAAATTTTGTGGTAGAAGTTGTAACAAGAGTTACTGTTTTGGCAAGGGACAGAAACATATTAAAAAGCCTGCACAGATATGAGTCATGCTTTTTTGTTCTTTCGTGTTATACTTGCTTTTACTTTATCTTTCATGGCCAAATCCACTCTGAGTTCCCATCTTTCCTTAACATAACTGTCGCTCTCTATCTTATATATTAAGATATAGGATTGGGAGGGGTGGGGGAGAAAGGTAGGTCAAAGGGTACAAAGTTTCTGTTAGACAAGAAGACTAAGATCTGGTGATCTGTTGCACAGCATGGTGACTATAGTTAATAATAATGTATTGTATATTTCCAAATTGCTAAAAGATTAGATTTTAAATGTTCTTACCCCAAAGAAATGGTAAGTTTGTGAGGTAATGGATATGTTAATCAGCCTGATTTGTTCATTCCACCATGTATATATGCACTGAAATATCACATTATGCACCATAAATATGTATAATTATTATTTGTCAATTAAAAATAAAAATTAGGCCAGGCACAGTGGCTCATGCCTGTAATCCCAGCACTTTGGGAGGCCGAGGTGGGCAGATCACCTGAGATCAGGGGTTCAAGACCAGCCTGGCCAACATGGAGAAAACCCAACTCTACTAAAAATACAAAAATTAGCCAGGTGTGGTGGCGGGCGCCTGTAGTTCCAGCTCGGGAGGCTGAGGCCAGAGAATTGCTTGAACCTGAGAGGCGGAGGTTGCAGTGAGCCGAGATTGAGCCACCACACTCCAGCCTGGGTGACAGAATGAGACTCAGTCTCAAAAAATAAAAATAAAGTAAAAAATAATAAATTAAAATTAAAATTAAAAAAATACAGAATTTCAGAGCTTGAAAGGAACTTTTAATTGATTCAAGCCACCCCTGTTAAATATACAGGGTAGGAAATAGAGAGTATATATGACTCATTCCATTTGTTTAGTTTTTTTTTTCCCTCTTACCCTAAGAATTTCTCACATTTTCATCAGCTTGGCATGAGTTGTATATTGATTCATGTGTTTCTAAGTAGTAGGGAAAATATCCCAAACATTGGTTTATAAAATGCCTTTAAAATATAGGAGATCAATTAAAATAAATACAGGAAGTCAACAAAGGTTTTAGAAAAGTGATGCTTCTCTCTAGGACTCTGTCCTTGCCAGGAGCCAGTGCTCAAGGAGAATCGGAGCTTTATTTTGTGACACAACAATTTTCTTTAACTCCTCCTTAGAATTCCCAACCAAATTGGTAACTGGGAGCAATACACTCAATACTCAAAAATAACTCATGAACATGTAGTTTCCTTTTCATTTTTACTGCTGTTACCTTAGTTCAGGACAGTATAATTTTATGCTTTTATCAGTGCATTAATCTGTGGCTTTTCTGCCTCCATTTATGCAAGTCAGAGTTGTAAACACAACTATTTTACTCGCTTGCTTAAGAGTCTCCCTATTTATTATAGGATAAAGGCCAGGCTTCCTAGCATGTTAGACAAAGCTTCCTATGATCTGACTTCTGCATACTTATTCAGTCTTATCTTATGCCCATCCTTAAAATTTGTCCTAATTTTCCTCCTTAGTTAGGAAAAAAACTGAAGATGCTTTATATATCTTTCAAAGCTATGCACCATAAAGTTGGTGTTTTCTGTTTCAGACTTATTATGTTATTTCCCACCTTATACTCTAAATTAAAATAATGAAGAATGACTTGTGGTTCCTCTAAATGCCTTGCTCTTCATTGCCTCTCAGTTTTTGCATGAGTTTCTCCTATGGTGAATACATTAGGAATGTTTTGGCTACATTTCTCAGAAAAGTGGCTGATGGTGGCTTAAACATCAGCATAAGGTATCTTATTCTCTTACATAACAGGTTTGGTGATAGGTGGTTCAAACTTTGGCTTAGAAACTCAGTGTAGTTTTCAATCAAGGAGATTAGATTGACATTTCTGCAATTTTCTAGCCTTACTCTGAAAGTCACAAAATGACTCTGGCAGTTTCAGGAATTAAGTCAACAGGCCAGCATCCTAGTCTGAAAAGAATGATCATAAACATAGGCTTTCTCTTCATGATTCTGTGTCATTTTGCACGGGGGGCAAAAAAAGCCCTTAGGTAGAATATGTTGGCCTTGGAAGAGAGGCTGAGAAAGGGAAATAGATTAGGATCCATCAGAATTTATCCCTTGGGGCTGGATATATTGCTATGCCACACAAAATCAAGGTCATATTAGCTTTGAAATTGTGGAGAATGGCTCCTGTGTAGGCAACTAACAGAGTCTGCTATACTCAGCATAGAATACCATTCCTTCTTGTTGACTTTCTTGTAATTTTTATTTCTTGAGACAGTGTCTCACTCTATTGCCCAGGCTGGGGTACAATAGCACAATCATAGCTCACTAAAGCCTTGAACTCCTGGGCTCAAGTGATCCTTCCACCTCAACCTGAGTAGCTGGGCCTACAGGCACACACCGCCATATTCAACTAATTTTTTAGTTTTGTAGAGATAGGGTCTCACTATGTTAACCAGGCTTGGCTTTCATTTTTTAATACGAAGACTCATTTGTTTTGTAGCCCATTTCCTCTGAGAGCCTTTCTTTGATCCTGCCTTTATTCCCTGCTAATCTGGGTTGGCAGTCTAGCCTACATACATTCTCATATCATAGAATTTATGATGCTCCAATCATCTGTTGTGTTTTTTTTTTCCTCCTGTGTCTTCATCTGGCAGTGAGTTCCTTAATGACAAGAGATTGTTCCTTTTCTCTCTGTGACTCCCAGTGCTTGCCGTAGGATAGATAATTTAAGGATGCTTATTTGATGACTGACAATGAGGGAGGAAGCTGAGCCAAGCCTCCTTTATGACATTTTTCTCCACAATGAGAAAACTTTTGGAAAAAACAAAGCAAATCTAGAATCCTCTGTTCAACTCTATCCTACTGATCTCACTTTCTTTCTCAGTCTCTTCCTACAAGGTGCCCTGTCCTCTGAAGGGAGGAAAGTGTACCAATCATCTATACCCTGACCCACATTATTCACAATAGTCATGTGCCATTTCTTACTTTCCCTGCGACATTTGCATTTCTTTAGGGCATTTTAAACTCAGAACCTAACACAATACTGAATCCGTAATATATAGTCAGTAAAGCTTGACATATTTTTGGAGTATTTCTTTTGAATACATATTATATATTCCAGAACTCTATAGCTAGGGATGTGGGTAGGATTAATACTTGCTTTGTTCTCATTAGCCAGTGAAGTTCTTTGGTTGTTTGAGATTGTGGAGTTTTCCTAAATGAAGGCTAGAATAATTTCTCATTTCTATTATTTTTTTCAGGTCTTTGGCTCAGGCGTTGGGGTAGTCTCTGTATGTCAAGGAGTACAGATTGGACTATCTATGGCTATTTACCTAAAGCAAGTCACAGCCACGGTACTTATTAATGGGACCAACTTTCCTTTTGGCATTCCACAGGTATATCATGGTCAGATCCATCAGCCCCTTCCCCATTCTGCACAATTAATATCCACCAATGCCTTGGGGTTACTAGAGCTCTATCGCACTTTTGAGACAACTCAAGTTGGGGCCAGTCAATATTTGTTTCCTATTGAAGAGGCCCAGGGGCAATTCCTCTTCATTGTAGGAGAAGGTGATAAGACTATCAACAGCAAAGCACACGCTGAACAAGCCATAGGACAGCTGAAGAGACATGGGAAGAACAACTGGACCCTGCTATCTTACCCTGGGGCAGGCCACCTGATAGAACCTCCCTATTCTCCTCTGTGCTGTGCCTCAACGACCCACGATTTGAGGTTACACTGGGGAGGAGAGGTGATCCCACACGCAGCTGCACAGGAACATGCTTGGAAGGAGATCCAGAGATTTCTCAGGAAGCACCTCATTCCAGATGTGACCAGTCAACTCTAAGAAGACTAGATATTCCTAGAAAATAAAGAAGCAAATCTCTTTACCAGGACCTTCTCTCAATTTTCATGGCGGAATGTCTCCCCCAGCTGCCACACACACATTTTGTATTAATTTTAATGATTAAAAAGAGCATAGGGTAAAAACCTGATATTTCACTTATACTGCATAACAAGCTAACCAAACTGGACATGGTGAATAAATCATAAAACAAATCATTTTACTTATTATTTACATGACTTTTCTTTCCATCAGGTCTTCTAAATAGGACTGAGGTATAGTACACTGGCAAAAATAAGAAAAGGCAAACAAGAATAGCACCAAAGTAACAGATATAAAACCAAATACCATGTCAGAAAACACTATATAGTAAGAATTTATCAGATTAGAGCAGCAGGAGAAAATTAATACTAAATTATAATCATTTTAGTGATATTTTTCAACTTCACCACAGTAACTTTGCAACATCATTTTTCATTTGTGGGGTAGTAAAATTCATGTCAAAAAGGAAAGAAGGAATGGAGGAGGTCAGTTAGTTCATTGCAATAAATTACCTCTTCAGTTCTTAAAAACATGCCCATTGGCACATAATTGAGACATAATAACTAAGACTAGAAGAGCCTTGGTTTAAGTTATGAAGCAAATTAAAATGGAAAATACAAGAAAATAGAACCAATTAGGTTGAAAATGCCCCTTACTGAAAATCTGTATTAAAAATAAAATTAATAAAAGTAAAAAATAAAAATAGAAACACAACTCTACTAGTACAGGCTAGCCTGGGGAGTTTGATAAACTGAGTGATTGGGTCAACTATCACTGTACTTCCATAATGAATTTCTTCAGTCATGTTAGAGTAGCACATGAATGTGAGCTCTATAAGGACAGGTACTATATTTCCGTAAGACCCAATAGTTACTGTACATCCCATAAATAAAAAATACTTTAGTTTGATAACCAACTGAATATATGAGGACTGCATGTAATTCAACCACATGGTTGTTTGCTGTACAGTCCTTTGCAAATATTAAAAAATTTTTTTTGCTATAAGGCTTTGATCATATAGTCCTCATAGCAACATAACTACCATCTAGCATGTACCACATTTTGCAAGACTTTAAGTTCAACATTCCAAACTGCCAATTTGTATTATGTCCAAATGCAGTATCCTTGAGGAATATAGTGGGTCAGTTAAATATCTAGAGACATACAAACATCTGCTAATTCATCTCATTGAGATGGATCATTCTGATCTCCATCATCCACCCACTTTTCATCAGCTTCTCCTACTTCATTCTCCTCATAGTCTTTATCATGAGGGATTCTGTATCCTGTCTCTCATCTACACTTGCTGGCCTTCCTGGTTGTGATTTATTGGAACAGTCTACACAAAAACCATAGGGTCAAGATCCATGTCTTACTCCAACACTGGCTGCTAACATGATCTTACATACCATACATTTACATTTTTATCCTTCTTATGCACCAAGAAATGTTTTCTTACATGTTTTCTCCAAGTGTAAAAAGTCACAGCTAAATGATCTCACTCCTGTATGAATAAGCAAGTGCTTTTTTAGTGTTTGTTTGCATTTGGCTGCATAGCTACAATGATGGCATTTTAACTTATTCATGATTAGAGATGATGATATGGTTTGGATATTTGTTGTGCCCAAATTTCATGCTGAAATGTAATCCCTAGTGTTGGAGGTGAGGCCTGGTGGGAGTTGTTTGGGTCATGGGGGTGGACCCTCATGGCTTGGTACTGTCCTCATGAGAGTATGATAGTGAGTGAGTTCTCAAGAGATATGACTGTTTAAAAGTGTGTGGCACCTCCTCCCCATCCTCACACTCTTTCTTGCCTCCTCTCTCGCCATGTGAGATGCCTCCTCGCCGTTCACCTGCTGCCATGATTGTAAACTTCCTGAGGCCTCCCCAGAAGCCAAGTAGATGCAAGCATTATGCTTCTGTAAAGCCTGCAGGACCATGATCCAATTAAATCTCTTTTCTTTATAAATTACCCAGTCTCAGGTATTTCTTTATAGCAACACAAGAACAACCTAACATGAATGATTCACCATTTTCCCAAGTTTCTTGTTTTGGCCAAGATTCTGGCAATAATCCATATTTGAAATCAAAGTATCTGGTATCAATTCATACTTGAAGTCACTTGAAGTGCCAGGCATCAAACCATACTTATTATAAAATCATGTGAAGTTCTAACATCACCTCCATCTTGATTAGACCCAGCTTCAGCCAATACATTCTTATCATCATCTGGCCCTGAAAGTAGAGCAACATCCAAATCTGGTTCTTCCAAGATTTCTACTCAAATATGAGTAGCGTATTTTCCTCTGAAAAGGCAATAGATGGCTGCATCATTGAGTAATCTTCCAAATTTGTTTCATTATTAGATGATGTATTATAAATAAATCTCCTTGTAGTTTGGTTTTTCCTCCGTGTTTCCCAGTTTCTTGAATTCCCTGGGAGCCCATATTATTCCAAGCAAACACTTGTTTGACCTTTGGATTTGTTTTCAGCCATTTCAGGAGATGCATTCTGGACCCAACTATTGTCACTCACTTGGTAGTTTTCTGTTTGGCCCTTGTTGACATTACAGCCATCATTTTCAGTTTTTATATTACTTGCCAAATTGGTAAGATTTAATGTTGCCCAAAAATTGGCAATTTTTTGATCCAATGATGAAGACAGACCATCTCTATTAACTGAGTTTTGTTTGTTTGTTTGTTTGTTTAGACAGTCTTGCTCTGTCACCCAGGCTGGAGGGTAGTGGCACAATTTTGGCTCACTGCAACTTTTGTTTCCCAGGTTCAAGCAATTCTCATGCCTCCCGAGTAGCTGGGATTACAGGCGTGAGCCACCATCCTTGGCTAATTCTGTATTTTCAGTAGAGACAGGGTTTTGCCATGTATGCCAGGCAGATCTTGAACTCCTGGCCTCAAGTGATCCATGTACATTGGCCTCCCAAAGTGCTGGGATTACAGGCATGAGCCACCATGCCCGGCCTGGTTTTCTATTATTATAGTCCACAACTGCAGACCCATGGAACTTCTGATTTAATGCTTATATTTAATCTTTAATAAATTTAGGCATCTGTAATAAAATTTCAGCAAGTTTGAAATTTCACTTGTTTGAAGATAGGCCACTGTCATTATTTTGGCTTGTGAGTACCAGGTTACCAGAATACAAGAAGTCCACAAGGACTGAAAAATTTTGACTGCTGCAGTATCTAAGTGGGTAGTATTATTTCGGTTAGGGCTTTCTTAGTTTTTAACACTATATAAAGTCTTAAAGAAATGGCTGCCAGCAACCAGGATGTTCTTAGGAGCCTTACAGATTTTCTGCTTACTACAGTGCTGACACCACAAAGTTTACCTTTCTTTTTTGTTCATTTTGTTGTCACAGAAGTTGACAGCAGTAACAGTTCTCATTTGGTCTGCTAGTAAACTCACAGTACCCCTCCTCTGATGGTATTCCTGACTCCTTGGCATTATCTCCATGGAGTCTGTCCTCAACAGAGATGCGGTACCACAGGAGAAGGGTGTTTTTGTTGTTGTCGGTCTCCCAAGAAAGCTCATCATGTCCCACTTGGGGAAGGTTCAGACCTCCGTCATCCATGGGGTCATTTGGCACCAACCTCAAGATATAAGCCCAGTATCCTTGGAATATTGCAGCTAGGGAAAGTCCTTGAGCTACAAGGTCTTTGAGGAGCACTGCAGCTTCTGCACTAGAGACTTGGACTGCATGAGCGGGAGGTTCTGGACAGTCTCTCCTTCACCAGCTCCTACACTCCTGCCCTTCACAGAGGAATGTCTTCGATCTTTTACTGTAAGAAGGAAGTCACAGCAAGAGAACAGCAAGAGGACTGAGAATGGTCGCCTTAATTTTAAAAGGGAAAAATGGTTTCTACTTAACCCAATATCATACGCTGAGAGTCCCATATTTGTAGAAATAAACTTAGAGTTCTACCTGACCTAAAATATTCCAGTTTGCAATCATAGCAATACATAAGGGAAAAAAGACTACCACTGATAAACTACAGAATGCCTTGGCTTATAAAAGAGACATGAAATGAATCAGAGGTTGATGTTTGTTGATGTCCTGAAACTCAAATTAAATATGCTTAGATCTCTGATATTTTAAAATAGTAATGCAATTATTATTGGAAAACTAGATCTGGGAAAATAATCTATTAGTTTAAGGCAATATGGAAGTTGATATGGATATAAGATCATAGAATGGGTCTACGATCAATAATTCAGCAAAATCTAATAAAATTAAATAAACTTATTTTTGTGCTTAAAAATGTCCAACATTTTGGCATTCTCAGCTATGGGAAAGGAACCATATGAAATTCACAGAATTGCAACTTGAGGACACAGCCATGATGAGGGGATTGTGTGTCTCTAGATTAGGAGCTGGCAAACTCTTTCTGTAAAGTATTAGATAGCAAATATTTTCAGTATTGCAAGTCATAAGGTCGCTGTCACTATTACTCAGCTCTGCCATGATAGCACAGCAACACCTATGGACAGTGTGTAATGAATAATGAATGACTGTCTGTGTTTCAATTAAACTTGATTTATGGACACTAAAATTTGCATATAGTCTTTGCATCACAAAATAATATTTTCTTTTTATTTTTTCTCCAAGTATTTACAAATGTAAAAGCCATTCTTAACCCACAAGCAGTACAAAAAATAGGCTGTAGGTTATTTGGCTTGCAGGACATAATTTTATGGTCCTGGGCATAGTGCAATCCAAATAACCTTGTCCAAGGTCAACTCTGAGGGGTTTTCTCTAAGGGGCAAGTCATAGCCCAGATATTTCTGAGCTACTAAATTGCAATGTATGGAAGTGGAAGGTGATTGGTGGATAATCAAGGTGAAGATGGATGACAAGAAATATATTTTGAATCGTTTTGTAGGTAGGTGGGGAGCCAGTGAAGAATTAGAGTAGTGGAAGTAAATTGAGGACACTTTGGTTGTGTGTGCCTAAACTCTTTTCCTTCTATCTGCTTTCTGATACTCCCTCTGTTTAGAGTAAAATCATTCCATTTTGTTGAGTGAGACTAATAGCCTCCCTCCTCTTTCAGTTATAGAAGTGGTCATATTTCATAGACCCAGTCAATAGGAACATCTCCTTTGACTATATGAGTAATAATCATGTAATGGCTAACACCTCCAGTCCAAAGTTATATAATAGTTGTCATAATGGGTGTAATTTTCTTATTTCCTGTTTGGGACTTTAGGAGGAATGTTTTTGCCTATATAGTATGATGTTGGTGTTTGGCTTCATGTATATCCTTTGATGTATAGTCTATGAAAAATATTTTAAACTAAGAATTTTTTGAATTGTTTTTCAAGTGCCTTTTTAGCATCATCAGAAATAATTCTATGGTTTTTCTCTGGATATCTAAATGGAATAAGTTATTTTTTAGTATTTAGTCATCTTTGCATTTGAGAAATGAAACTCATTTGGTCATGATGTATTCTTAATTAACATTAATAAATGGGATTAAACTGTTGTTTCCTTTTTCATGATATTTTTGGGTTAGATATTATACCAATGTACTTCTTTCATAAACAGAATCTTAAAAATTTCTTTTTTAATATAATAGTTTAATTACAATAAAAATTACCTCCTTTTTAGAAAGTTTAGTAGTACGATCCTGGAGATGTAATTATTCCTGGTAATTTTTTAAAAGACAACCTGGATTTTTATTGATGTCTAGTAAAATACATTTTTTCTATATTATAGAGGATATTTCCAGTCCAAACCAGTTCTTTATATTTTTTAGCCTTTCACATACCAGGAAAATAAAAAAAAAATATTTAAAATTAAATTACATGATAAAATCTTTAAAAAAAAAAAAAAGCCCTTAATCTGGCACACTAATGTTGCCAGAGTTAAAATAGAAAAGGACATGACCTGACACTTTTCAAGAGAAGCCATACATATGCCCAACAAGCATATAAAAAGAAGTTCAACATCACTGATCATTAGAGAAATGCAAATCAGAAACACAATGAGATACCATCTTACATCAGTCAGAATGGCTACTATTAAAAAGTCAAAAAATAACAGATGCTGGTGAGGTTGCAGAGCAAAAGGAATGCTTATACACTGTTGGTGGGAGTATAAAATTCAACCATTGTGGAAAGCAGTGTGGCAATTCCTCAAAGAGCTAAAAATACAACTACCATTTGACCCAGCAATCCCATTACTAGGATTCCATTCCCAAAGGAATAGAAATTGTTCTATCATAAAGACACATGCATGCATATGCTCACTGCAACACTATTCACAATAGCAAAGACATGGAATCATCCTAAATGCCCACCAATGATAGACTGAATAAAGAAAATGTGGTACATATACACGATGGAATACTAAGCAGCCACAAAAAAAGAACAAGATCGTGTTCTTTGCAGGAACATGGATGGAGTTGGAAGAAACTAACATAGGAACAGAAAGCCAAATACTGCAGGTTTTCCCTTATATGTGGGAGCTAAATGATGAGAACACATGGACACAAAGGGGGGAGCAACAGACACTGGGGCCTATTTGAGGGTGGAGGGTGGCAGGAAAGAGAGGAACAGGAAAAGTAGCTATTGGGTACTATGCTTAGTACAAGGGTGACAAAATAATCTGTACAATAAATCCCTGTCATATGAGTTTACCTGTATAACAAACTTGCACACTTACCCTTGAATCTAAAATAAAAATAAAAAAATTTAAGCAAAAAAGGAATCTAGATAAATTTTTGCTTAATTAAAAACTATGAACAAAACTTTGTAAAAGATACTGACTTTTTTATTGTGATAAAATAGATACAACAAAAAACAGGCATAAAATTTTTAGTTCTATAATATATATGCTGTATAGTGGCATTAAGAACATTCACAATGATATGCTATCATTACAACTGTCTATCTCCAGAATTTTTTCATCTTTCCAAACTAAAACTTTATATCCATTAAACAATAACATTTTCCCCTTACCCTAGTTCCTGGAAACACCTTTTTATTTTCTGTTTTTGTGAATTTAACTATTCTATGTTTCTCATATAAGTAGAATCCTTATTTGCCCTTTTGTGTCTGGCTTATTTCACTTAATGTAATGTCTTCAAAGTTTATCTATTTTGTAGCATGTGTCAGAATTTTCTTTTTTACAGCTGAATAATATTCCATTGTATGTGTATTTACTCATCATTTTATTTAGTCATTCATCTGTTGGTGGACATTGGGGTTTTTTCTACCTTTTGACTATTTTGAATAATGCTGCTATGAACATTGGTATATAAAGATGTGTTTAAGCCCTGCTTTTCAATACTTTTGGATATATACCCAAAGTGGAATTATTAGATCACATGGTAATTCTATGTTTGATTTTTTGATGGACCATCATACTGTTTTTCATAATGGCTCCACCATTTTACATTTCCAACAGCAATACACAAGGGTTCCAATTTCTCTGCGTTCTCATCAACACTTGTTTTTTTCTTTTTTCTTTTTGTTTTTCTTTTTTGATAATAGCCATTGTGTTGGGGCATACCTTAGGCGGCTTTATTCAGCTAAGGTAATCCTTGAAGATGGCTGACAGCTGAGTGCTGTTTCCCAGCAGTGCTTTCAACAGCTGGATTACAAATCCTTGATTTCTGAAGGAGGATCTCAGTGCAGCATCAGTGTGTCCACCATAATGGCTTACTGAGTTCTGCCACTTATGGGTCCCACTCTCTATTTCTGACAGTTCTCTTTCTGCCTCACCTGGAGATTGATTTCCTCACAGATGCTTCCTCTTCTCATAGTGTTGTCTCTTTCTGGGAGTGAATATTTGTAATTTGTTAGATTTATCTGTCTTCTTGTTTCACCGAAAGTGTGCCTTTTTTTGTAACTCTGATTGGTTTTTAGGAAGAGTGGGGTAATTTAAAACTAAGCTGCCGCAATATTCCTATTAGAGCTAAAAGTCAGGAAAATTCCTATAATTATCTTTGATTTTTTTCAACTCTTTCAAATGACTCTTCACAATTGATTGTTTTCAGAAACTTCTGATGAAATTTGGTAATTCAAAAGATAAAAAGAATCAAATAAATCAAATATATTATGATTAAGGTGTTCGTTCACCTTGCTAGCTTTACAATGGCCATACTCATGTTGTCTTGTATGGAGAACACTGACTGATATAAATTTGATTTATAAGTATAAATTCAGGTTGTTCAAATAAGCAGATCAATTTGCATTATATGTTAACTTGCATGTCCAGTCCAAGTCATGAATACTGTTGTAGAGATGAACAATGTCATCACCTCTTTCAAGTTTTTGTTCAAATCTTGAATTATTATTATCTTTTTTAGAGGAGGACAACACATTTAGTTATATTTCAATAAAATCACAATGCTTTCTTTTCCAGTTGCAGCAAAGTGCATGTAAAATTTTCTATTACAGATCCACTTTTAAAAGGTTTCCTATGACATTGCAGCAAGCCTTTTTTTCCAAACAGCAGAAAAATCCGAAATTCTTCCTCAAATAAAAATACATTACAGTCAATGGTAAATACATAAAATTACAGTAAGCCAGACACTTAAAAGGACAGCCAAGAAGTCTTCCAGCAGTTTATTAGAAAGAATGTAGACATAAAAAAAATCTCTACTGTCACTAACATAAATTGAGGTTTTCAGCCTTGGTACAAGCAGAATAATTTAAAAAAAAAGGAAATTCAAAATCCAAAGTGCACTAACATTTTTTTCACTCACTTGCCATACTTCCAGTGCAAATATAAATCTGGTCTAAAGCTGCAGACTCTCAAGCAACAATGTACAGCTTCCTTCATCCTCCATGCTAAGAGAATTAAAAGCTTATGGGCCAAAAAATACCAAATGTACAGGTTTCAGAAACCATCTAAGTTAAGTCATTTACTAGTTTTAGCTAAGATAGATCTGGCACACTGGCAAGTGATCACTTACATACAATAGTGTGAAGTGAAGTTTTTGAACACTAAATGTTAGTAGACTAGTCCTGAAGTATACACCAGAAGAACAGCAGGTTATCAATTTAAGGTGTCAGCCAATTTGCTTCCTCTGCTTTTAAGTCCATATTCTATACCCTAAATTTAGTTATCTTTCCATAAGCTGAGAGCTTCCTATCAGTATCTACATTATGAAGAAAAGGAGACTTAGATGATATGTTTTATTTATCACAACTGCTGCATCAATTGCCTGGGACTGCAACAGCTTCACAGAAGTCTGGGAAATGTTCATGCATAAGGTTACTGCCTTAGCTGACTTCAAATTGCCCCATCCAAATGGTACATATTAACCCTCAGTGAAGCCTTTAAAAACGCAAACAAGTTGACAAATGGGTTAAAGCAGGCAAATACAGCAACTGCCTTCAGAGCTGTCAACTCAGGTATTCTGTCAATTATGAAATCTTGCAGAGAAGTTGCTTTTCTTTTTCAAAATCTAGGTGATGACAATATTCCTTACTCCAGATCTGGCATTTTTTCCATCACTGTCTTTTAAATCAGCATCTGCTCCATTGATTTCTGGTAAATCCACATCCTCCTCACCACCCATGTTGTTCATCATTGTTGGGAACAGGCCCCCAAATCTGGCCATAAATTGGCCCCAAAACTGGCCATAAACAAAATCTCTGCAGCACTGTGACATGTTTGTGATGGCCATGACGCCCACGCTGAAGGTTGTGGGTTTACCGGAATGAGGGCAAGGAACACCTGGCCCACCCAGGGCAGAAAACTGCTTAAAGGTGTTCCTAAGCCACAAACAATAGCATGAGCGATCTGTGCCTTAAGGACATGTTCCTGCTGCAGATAACTAGCCAGAGCCCATCCCTTTGTTTTGGCCCATCCCTTTGTTTCCTGTAAGGAATACTTTTAGTTAATCTATAATCTATAGAAACAATGCTTACCACTGACTTGCTGTCAATAAATATGTGGGTAAATCTCTGTTCGGGGCTCTCAGCTTTGAAGGCTGTTGAGTCCCTTGATTTCCCACTCCACATGCTATATTTCTGTGTGTGTGTCTTTAATTCCTCTAGTGCCGCTGGGTTAGGGTCTCCACAACCAAGCTGGTCTCAGCACATCATCTCAGAGAAATGATCAAAATTAGACATGTCTTCTTCTGAATCATCTTCCCAGCTTTTCCAATTATCGAAGTCCATACTAAGACAATTAAGCTTTGCCCTTTCTTTTGCTAACTTTGGCTGATGACTGGCCAGATTCTCCTTTTCGTAAACAATATAAAATTGAGCTGTCTATTCTTTACCACAGACTAATGAAGTCATTTAATATTAAAGTTCTTTCAGCAACTTGAATAGAGGAATGAGAACTTTTGATATGAAAATAAATAAACTTCAGCATAAAATAACAAACATTTACTATCATTCCCTTTTCTTCACAAGACTGAGAAAAAAATAAAAAATTCAGTACATTTTTAATTACCTAGTTAGGAATTTCACTAAAATCTTCATGCAGTTGGGCATCTATCCATATAAATATATTTCTTTCATATAGGCAATAAATATATTTCACTTCCATTGCAATAGCCTGAATATGTAGGATAAACATTCTTTCATATACTAAATAATTGTCAACTCCTGTAAGTAACATTCCAATGTATTTCTGAAAAGACACTGAATTCATATGAAAATTTATTATGTTAGAATTTATACTACTCTTCTTATCATCTATATTTTACATATCATTTTGATGTAGGGTGGGTGAGCCCCAAAGTAGGGCTTAGCCTGCAAGGGTTCTTTGCTTCACCTAGGAAATAATTAAAGGGCAACCTGGTGGTGGGGTAGAAGAAAATAGCTTTATTTAAGTGGCAGTATTATAGCTCCAGCAGTGTTAGAGCTCTGGTGGTGTTACAGTTCTGTGACCGCTCCTGCAGAGCAGGGCTACCCCATAGGCAGTGTGCTGAGAGTAGCATCTCAGGGCAGTTTTTGCAGTCATATTTATACCTACTTTTAATTACATGTAGATTAAGGGGTGGTTTATGCAGAAATTGCCAGGAAAAGGTTGACAACTTTTGGGTCATGAGTTCATTGCCATGGAAAGGAGCGGCAACTACCAGGTGTTGCCATGGCCATGGTAAGCTGTCATGGGACACTGTTAGGCATGTCTTATGGAAAACTGCTTCTGCCTCATCCCTGTTTTAGCTAGTCCTCAATTTGGTCTGGTGTCAGAGCCCCACCTCTGGTGTTGAGTCCAGCCTTCTACCTCAATTTGAACTTCAAAACAATCATTTTAGAAGTTTTAATTCCCAAAGGTTTAAAATATTTACAGGCTCACTTGAGCACCATCCTTATATATCATGCAGGCAACTTGCTAATTATTAGTCTTATTTTAAAATATCAGTGAAATCAGGGGATTGACACTAGCCTTGAAGTACTGTTCAGAAAAAGAAACCAGACCAAAAACCCAGAATAATATGATATATAATAGTTACACATGTGTTATTATTTTATCATGAAATATATACAATAAGCATTTCTTTTAAAGTGTATAGTATTCTGTATTATTTACATTTTTGTGCATAAATGCTATTATTTAAAACAACAATAGGAGTAGTTAATGGTGACAATCAATAGATCAATAGTAATTAATAGAGGACTAATTAAACAAATAATATGTGTTTTATTTAAAAACATGTTTTCTAAATAATTTTTTATTTTAGAATAGTTTTAGATTTACAGAAAAATTGTGAAGGGCACCTGTTTTTTTGTTTTAGACAATCACCCTCCTTACATATCACATACACTGCCCCCATCCTTACAAGTTTATGAAATAATACATGGGTGTCCCTGTTACTTAGCATTCAAGAGATGTCACTTAGCACCTCAGTTTCAGGTCCCACATAGCTTATCTTATGTTCATGAAACAAAAGGAAATAGCTTTCCAGTACTGGGAAGGTTTGTGCTATATCAGTGTTGATGTAGGATAATTAATCTTTGGATTTTCTCTGCAAAAGACAAGGCCAAATAATTACCATTGATTCCCCTCAGACAGCACAAATGCAACAGATTCTTGGGTAACAAAATGTTCTTCCCAATAATATAATGTGTATTTTTTTCTCTCTTTTTGTTCGAATTTGTGATCCTGGAGGTATTCAGGATTAGCGTAATATTTGCAATACTTGCATGTGGCAGTTAAAGAACATTTTGCATATAGTTTATGTTAATCTTAGATCTGTATCTGTATTTAGATAAATAGGTGTAAAGTGTGATGTCCCGTCTTTGCATAAATGTATTGATGTTGATATCACTTGGAAAGTGAAAATCACAATATAATTGATAGAAATTTATATAACGAAATTAAATATTTTATAATATTTTCTGCAGTTATAATAATTTATTATTTACAAACTTTCAATAGTTTATCTTGATACATATATTCATGTTTTATTTCTGAATTTAAGTATTACTATAAAAATGTTTTGACCATTCAGTTTCTATAGCCTCTGCAGAACGAAATTTCTCCAAATTGAAATGACTAAGAAACACCCTAACAACTATTATGACTGAAAGAAAGATGTTTCCTTAGAAATGACTGTCAATAGAACAGAAATTATGTGAAAATAGGTTATAATAAACAACATAATCAGTTATTTTGCTAAAATGAAACACATAATAAATATATAATAATTTATAAATTATGAACGTCTTTATTTTATACTCATTTGAAACATTACTGGCCTATCAAAAGAACACTTAGATATGTACTATAATTATGTTTAGGAATTTTTTGGTATTTGTTGACTTCTAGTCACCAAAAAATCAGAGTTTTACAAATATTTTTTATTTTGTCCTCATGAAGTCATATTTAAAGGTAAGAGCATAGAGCATATTTTATTGAACAGTTTTTCTTGATTTCTTTATTTTAAATAATTATTTATTTATTAAGAGACAGGGTCTAGCTCTGTTGTCCAGACTGGAGTACAGTGGTATGATCATCAGTCCTGCAGCCTTGAACTCCTTGGCTTGAGTGACTGTCCCTCTCATCTCAGCCTCCTGAGTAGGTGGGACTAAAAGCGTATGTCATCTGACTAGCTATATTTTTTTAAAAAATTTTGACTGTTTTGACTACTGCCGTCCACGTAAGATATGACTTGACTTGCTCCTCCTTGCCTTCCGCCGTAATTGTGAAGCCTCCCCAGCCACTTTGAACTAGATGGGGTTTCGCCACGTTACCCAGGCTGGTCTCAAACTCCTGGGCTCAAGCAATCTGCCAGCTTCAGCCTCCCGAAGTGTTGGGATTACAGGTATGAGCCATCGTGGCTGGCCAATATTTGAACTGAGTGTGGAGTGGCACAGGAAGAGTGGGGAAGAACTGGAGTGAGCCCCTGGCTTCGGGTGGGATGCTCAGGTTTTAGTGAGGAATGGGGTCCATCTGCAGACTCCTCTTCAGACTACCAGTCATGCTCAGTGGTCAGATCCTCTCTTAACAGGGGTTCCTCACATAGCAGTCAAGTGGGAAACTGGAGATTTGCTTGGAAAATACCCCCATCTGTGTCCCTGCTCTGAGTAGGGTAAAGTTTCTGGTAAAACAGCACACAGGGAAAAGGATCAATTCTTTCTGTTGACCGGCCTAGAGTGGTCCCGCTATGAGTCAAGGGGAAAGGTGTAAGAGTATTTACCAAGATATCTTTCTGAGAGCCCTCTGATATTAAGGTCAACTGACCCTTCTCTAAATGGCCTTTATTTAACTATTTCTCTCAGCCTATAGGACTTGCCCAATGATATGGTTTGGTTCTGTGTCCCCACCCAAATCTGCAGAGGTGGGGCCCTCATGGAGAACCTCTGCTAGGGCAATGTGGAAGGGAAATGTGGGGTCAAAGCCCCCACACAGAGTCCCTACTGGGGCACTGGCTAGTGGAGCTGTGAGAAGAGGGCCACCGTCCTCCACATCCCAGAGTGGTAGATCCACTGACAGCCTGCACTGTAGGCCTGGAAAAGACTCAGGACACTCCACAACTGCCTGTGAAAGCAGCCATGAGGGAGGCTGTACCCTGCAAAGCTATAGCGGCAGTGCTGCCCAAGACCATGGGAACCCACCTCTTGCATCAGTGTGACCCAGACGTAAGACATGGAGTCAAAGGAGATCATTTTGGAACTTTAAGATTTGACTACCCTGCTGGATTTTGGACTTTCATGGGGCCTGTAGCACCTTTGTTTTGGCCAATTTCTCCCATTTGGAATAGCTATATTTACCCAATGCCTGTACCCCCATTGTATCTAGGAAATAACTAGCTTGCTTTTGATTTTACAGGTTTGTAGGCAGAAGGGACTTGCCTTGTCTCAGATGAGACTTTGGACTTGGACTTTTGGGTTAATGCTGAAATGAGTTGAGCCTTTGGGGGATTGTTGGGAAGGCATGATTGGTATTGAAATGTGAAGATAAAAGATTTGGGAGGGACCAGGGGCAGAATGATATAGTTTGGCTCTGTGTACTCAACCAAATATCATCTTGTAGCTCCCATAATTCCCATGTGTGTGGAAGGGACCTGATGGGAGATGATTGAATTATGGAGGCAGGTCTTTCCCATGCTGTTCTCGTGATAGTAAATAAGTCTCACGAGATCTGACGGTATTATAAGGGGGAGTTTCCCTGCACAAGCTCTCTTAGCCTGCCGCCATCCATGTAAGATGTGACTTGCTCCCCTTGCCTTCCATCATGATTGTGAGGCCTCCCAGCCATGTAGAATTGTGAGTCCAATTAAACCTTTTTCTTTTGTTAAGAAAAAAAAGTTTTAGAGATAGGGTCTTACTATGTTGCCCAGTCTGGTCTCAAACTCCTGGCTTCAAGCAATCCTTCTGCCTCAGCCTCCCAAGTAACTGGGATTAGAGACATAAGTCACTGTGCCTGGCTTTTCATTTTAAATATTTATAATATTGTATGTAGGTTTTCATTTTTTACTCTTGCTGTAGGTCCCACAAATGTGAGGGATAGGCTTGTACATCACATATGCCCATTACTATGATCTTAATATTAATGCCCCCAAAATTTATATGTTTAAAAACCTAATCCCCAAGGTGATGACATTAAGAGGTGGGGCCTTTTTGGAAGTGATTAAGCCATATGGGCAAAGCCCTCATTGGGATCAGTGCCCTTATGAAAGAGGTTGAAGACAATCTGCTGAGCTTGCATGTGTGGGGGTGGGGCCCTGTGGCTTCCCCCTGCACCTCCAGGCCACTGAGGTCTGCATCTGCCCTCTGGAGTTCAACCCTCACTTAGTGGCACAGTATGATACCCTAGGAGTGACCGGTGCTCCTGGAGGCAGCTGATACATACCTTGCACCTGACTGGGGTGCCTAAAGGGCCAGTTGAGGGATATGAGGAGGATGAACAGTTTCTGAGGAAGATGTACCATGTGCTGCTGGAGGTGGATGTGTTGGAGGGCACCCTGCAGTGCCCAGAGTCTAGACGTGTGTTCTGCCTCACTCGCAGGGTTCCCAATACGCTGCTGAATGATGAGGAAACTGAGAGTTGATTGTGCCAAGTGCCAGTTTTCCTTCTCATGATCGTGTGAATTTTTGTTGATGTATATCCTGTTTCCTAATTCTGCCACATGTATCCCCAACCCTTGGCCCAATGGCACACCAAATACACCATATTCTTGAGCTCGATAGTATATGTTTTTTCTCATTAAAGTTTCAAACAAAAAAAAGTAAATAAAAAAATAAAAATAAAAAAGAGGTTGAAGGGAGGTGCCTTGCTGCCTTCACCATGTGAGGATGCAGAAACAAGATGCTATCTATGGAGCAGAGAGTAGCCCTTACCAGAGACCATATCTGCTAGTTCCTTGATCTTAGACCTCCCAGGCTCCAGAACTGTGAGAAATACATTTCTATCGTAAATTACCCCGTCTAAGGCATTTCATTATAGCAGCAGAGACCAACAAAGACAGAAATAGGCACAGAGAGATAGGGTGTGTTTATAACAAAACCTAAAAATGGGAAAGCAGCTTTGGAACTGCATAATAAATAAAGGATGGAAAGAGTTTACAGGTCCACTGCCATGAAAGGAGCCTTAGGGGCAACTCAGGTGAGGGTTCAGAAGAAGGTGAGGTTGAAGAAGCTGTAGAAATAGCCTCCATCTTCTTAGAGATTACCTAAGTGGTTGTGATCAAAATGTTGATAATACAGAAATACAGATGGTAAAGGCCATTCTGATGAAGTCTCAGACGAAAATGAAGGACACGTTATTGGCAACTGAGGACTAGATGATCTCTGTTACAAAGGGGCAAAAGAACTTGGCCAAATCATGTTCATGTTCTAGAAGAAATCTCTAAGCAAAATGTTGAGGATTTTGACTACTTATAATAAAATGTGGAAGCAGAACTTAAAGATTTGGAAAATTCTCAGCCTGGTCATATTGTATAGAGTGGAAAGGTGTGTTCAAGAGAGAACACCAAGGGTGTGGCTAAGTAACCGTTTGATAAGGAGATTAGTACGGTGAGGCAGAAATCAGGTGCTATTTATCAAGATAATGAAAGAATGACACCAAAGGCCTTTCAGTGTTTATTTGTGCTGTCCTTCCTATCATAGGCACAGAGTGCCAAGGCTGGGGGCAACATATCTATATCAAAAGAGGAAGCTTGGACACCTGTAGGACCTTGACGCCAGGTGGCCTCAAATCTCCACTTCCTGCATTCTGCTGCAATGCTCCTCACCTGCCCCAGGTATGGTTCACGCAGGCCCATGTGCAGTTTGGGCCACTCTCTGGAAGGCAATATAGTAAATCTTGGTGGTGTCTGTGCAGTGCTATCTCTACCAAAGTGCAGAGTGCACAAGTCCTGAGGGCATGCCTGCCTCCACTTAGATTTCAAAGGATGCCCCAGAAAGCCTCAGAGCCCAGACAGAGAACTATCACAGGAGCAGGACCACCACAGACAGCCCCCACCCCAGTATGGCAATGCCCAGTGAAACCGTGGGAGCAGAGCCACCCCCAAGACCCCAGACTGGTAGAGCCACCAGTGTGCAATTCCAGCCTGGGAGAGCCATAGGCATGTGACTCCAATATGTGAGAAATGCTATATGGGTTTTGCCCAGCAAAGTCATGGCCAGGACTACCCCCCACCCCCCAAGTGTTTAGAAGGTAAAATGTCAAGTCGAAGATTATTCTTGAGCCTTAATATTTGCCCTGTTGGGTTTTACAGTTAGTCAGGATTTATTATCCTTTTCTTCCTTCCTACTTCTACCTTTTGGAAAGGAAATGTCTGCCCTGTGCCTATCCCACCATTGTATTTTCAAAGCATGTAACTTGTTTGATTTCAGAGGCTCACAGCTGAAGGGGAATTTGCCTCAGGATGAGTCACACCTTTGAGTCTCAGTCATATTTGATTTAAATGAGACTTTGGACCTCAGACTTTTGCATTGGTGCTGGAACAAGTTAAGGCCTGGGGAGCTACTGGGATGGAATGAATACATTCTGCATGTGAGAAGAACATACATTTCGGACGGCCAGAAGCAGAACTCTATGGTCTGAATTTTGGTGTATCCCCCAAATTTATATGTTGAAACCTAACCCCCAAAGTAATGGTATTAAGAAGTGGGACCTTTTGGGAAGTGATTAAATCACAGAGGCTCTGCTCTCGTGAATGGGATCAGCCTTAAAAAGGTTGAAGGCAGCGGTTTTGCTCCTTCTGCCATGTGAGGATGCAGCAACAAGGTGCCATCTGTGGAGCAGAGAGCAAACCCTCATCAGACACTAAACCAGCCAGTGCCTTGATCTTGAATTTCTCAGTATTCAGAACTGTGAGAAATAAATTTCTATTACTTATAAATTACTGAATCTATGTTATTTCCTTATAAATAAAGCAGCCAAGGACAGTTACGTGATCCTAGATCACCCATTGCCATAATGTTTTCAGGTGAGACTTACTGGCCTTCAACTCCCAGCTGCCTTCCAAGCCCATCACTATGAGAATATGGAAACTTCCAGAAACCTTTCACAGAACAGGAGAGCAAAAAGAGACTTGCGTGTGCTATCTTTGAATCTCTATTTGTCTAAACACACAATGTCCCATTTTACTGTGTTTTCCAGAACTCCAAACAGGAAATAGAACAAAAGGTTCCTCCGGGATTTTCAGTTTTTCATAATCCATTCCCACCTTTGGTCACGGCCTAGACCTTTCTAGGCAGGGTTGCCTTCTTCCCTAGGACAATAAGTCCCAGGTCTTTGCCTTAATGTAATAAAGCTTCAGAAGAACAATAAAATGATTACTGAGAATTGTAAATGCATTGAGAGATATTATTAAATATTATTCTTGCCTTACAAGTAATAGGTCAGGGAGTAGCCAGATATGGCAAAAATTAAAAAGATGCTACTATAGTGAATTCTTATAATTTTATATTGCCTTTATATGCATGTATACTCAAATGTATCCACTTTGAGTATAAGTTGAACTTTCTCATCCCAGAAGCAGGACTTAGTCACCCTTGACAACAATTTCTAGTTCTCTGTCTCTTTCAACTTCCTCACTGTGGCTGATCCAGATATCTGCTTATACAAATGCCTTTTTGTGACCACCTCCTTGGGGGACAGCTAGATACAACTTACTTGACTTGCCCACTGACCCCCACACCTCATACGAACTGTGCAGATATGCTCAGCAACCACCTCTCAGTTGCCTGTGACCTCTTGGAACTATTGCCTGCTTGTTCTAAACCCATCAATTAAAACTCCCCTCGGGAAACCTGCTTGGGTAACACCCTGAACCCCAATAAAGGCTTTGGACCAAAGGTCCCTCTCTCTCTCTTGCTCCCCACATGCTGGTTGAGTGCATATCCTGGACAGCTCTCCCCTTCCCGTTGGTGCTCTTTCCCTCTCTTCTCTGATCTGTAAGTAATACGCTCTTCTGTTATTTCGTGTGTTTTGCTAAGTTGCCTCTTCTGTGTCTCACCTGACCAACACACCCAAATCTACCTTCTACCTTCTTTCTCCATCAGGGCTGTCCTAGAGAGGGGCTGTCTTGGTAGGAATAAACTGGACACAGGTCAGACAAGAGCCCCAAAGGCATCTCCCAGTATAAACAAGTTTTCTGTGAGAGGAACACCCTGTCGTGGGTTGGACACCCAGGCATTAGGCTGTCTGCTGATACAGAAGTGTCCCATGAAAGACACACTATAAACATTCATGACCAAATCCCTGGAGCCCTGGGAGGGTAGGGCAAGAGTTTTTACCCATGTTCCTGAGAGAGACCTCAAGACCAAATTAGAGGAAAATACAATAGCTACCTAACGAGTAACTTTTTTGAATATTGTTTAGAGCCAGCCTTCTCATTACATAGGTAAGTAACAGAGCCTTGAATTTTTTTTTTTTTTTTTTGCAATTAATTTAATGGCAGGACTGGGATTAGAATTCGGGGACTTATCCCTATATTTTCTCCATTCCATTATATTGAGATTTTCTCCCATAGTCTATTAAACTCTGTTGTCTGGAAATTTGAAATAAATTTTGGTCATACACCGTCATTGTTTTTATCTTAGGACAGCTAGAAACACTTCAATTTCTATATTTACCCTTCTTATGGAGAACATTTTTTAGGTTCCATTAATGACTAGGAACATTCTTGGATCTATCACAAAAAGAGTCATAGTTTCCATTGATTGTGCTGTAGCTATGTGGAAACTTCATGGAATCCCTAAGTATACCTGGTGACTTTAAACCATCAGAATAGTCTTCATTGTGGCCAGGCATAGTGGCTCATGCCTGTAATCCCAGCACTTTGGGAGACCAAGGCGGGCGGATCACGAGGTCAGCAGATTGAGACCATCCTGGCCAACACGGTGAAACCACGTCTTTATTAAAAATACAAAAAATTAGCTGGGCATGGTAGCAGGTGCCTGTAGTCCCAGCTACTCAGGAGGCTGAGGCAGAAGAATGGTGTGAACCCCAGAGGCAGAGCTTGCCGTGAACTGAGATGGTGCCACTGCACTCCAGCCTGGGTGACAGAGCGAGACTCCACCTCAAAAAAAAAAAAAAAAGAATAGGCTTCATTGCAAAATCATTTATTTTTGCTACCATTTCCCCTCTCCTTATCCATGACTTAAGCAATCAGATGTTCCTAAATTTTAACCTTTTTTTCAGTAATTCTAGATTTTTTAAAAAGATACTTTAAAAGATTATAATGGACACAATAATATACTTCCAAGATTGCAATCTATAAAGTAAAATTTCCCTGATAAAAGATGTTACATGACACATGGTATAAATTAATTTGATACTAAAATTTATGTTAGGAAAAAGAAGACCTTTTTGCTAAGCATGGCAGGTAGTCAGGAGCAGTTCAGTGTGGTAGGTTATAACAAGAGTCCTGAAATACTTCCTGGGATTCAAAAATGAAAAATAATATTCTAGGATAACTGGAAGATTAATTTTAGTTGTGAATAATCATTGATAAGTGTTATTGAAGACCAATCTACATTGTGACCAAACGAGGGTAAAACATAGAGCTTACTTATGCCTTAGCCAGAAATCATTTTTAATTCACTATACAATTGAAATCTCTCATTTAAAGTAGTATTTTCATACTGACATATTTAAAACTAGCCAGTTATTTCCTCCATGAGCATGCTATTCATAACATTTCTTAGGTTTGTCAATCAGCCATTGGCAAATGAGGTAAGATAGGGACAATGTCTCATTATTTCATTCTAATTAAAACTGTTGGCTCTAAACCCCCTAGTCACAGCTACTGCATCCAAGTAAATAAAAAAGATGATGCATTAGTGGATACAGGCTTGAGTTAAAAATAATTGTCATTTCAAAAACTTTCCCCTTTCTATAGATTTGGGCACTAGTCTCAAAGTACATTCCAAAGAGAAAATTCATAAATTTCCCAGTCTCCATTAATCCCCTCCCAACTCAACCTCTAAAATCCCTCAAGTAATAATCACTGGGTTTGGAGGCCAGAATCCAGCAGATAAGGACTGTTTTCTAAGTCCAAACTAATCTGTCATTAGTGATGTAAATACTGATCAATGTTCAAAAACTAGCATATGATTTCTGAGGCCTCACTTTGTTGTTTGGCTTGATTATATAACTTTCTTCCTTCCAAACTCATCTTCCCAGTACTCCAGCCATTTGAATGTTTTGAATTCATTCAGTGCATATTTATTGAGCACCCTCAATGAGCCAGGAATAGTTCCAGGTGATTGGATACTTTAAGGAATAAAACAGTAAAAAAAAAATGCCTGCCCTCATGAAGCTTTTATTATATTGCAGTCCCACAAAGGGGATATATCTATAAATAAACTTGTCCTTCTTTCTAGAAGGCACTTCTATACTTCTTTATCCAGTGAGTCCTTACCCAGGTGTCAAGCTCCACTCATAGGTACCACTTCCAGGAATCTTTCCTGCTATGTGTTAGGTGCCCCTTCTGAGTATTCCTAGGATTTTATTTTTGGAAGTGCACTTACCACACTCCATTAGAATTGCCTGTTTACTTTTTCTATCTTTTCAGCTACACCAGGGGTCAGCAAACTTTTGCTATAAAGGGGTAGAAAGTAAATATTTTAGGATCATAGGCTGTATTAGTCAGGGTTTTCCAAAGAAACTGAAACTATTTATGCAGGTTGATCCCTAATCTGAAAATCTGAAATCTGAAATCTGAAATGCTCCAAAATATATGGCCTCTATTGCAATCATCGACTGCCATTGTAAAGTGAAAGGAGCTGTAAATAGCACATAAACAAAAACTTTATCTATTAAAACAGATAGAGACTGGATTTTGTCTGAAGACTGTAGTTTGCCAACCCCTGAACTAGTCTACGAATTTCTTGAGCAGGAACAGGGTCCTGGTTAATTCAAACATCCTTGGACATAATGGGAACTTAATGAATTATTGTTGAATGAATATGGAACTGATACCATAATAGCTATGTGATTGCCATTATGGATATGGATGGTGGCAAATTCACAGTCATCTTGGTTACTATCAGGAACTATATCTCACAATAGTTAAGGATGGCTGCTAATGATTACAAGTATGCTTGATTATGTCATCTGGATGGCCATATGTGATTTTCTTCAGTTTGCATGTGCATATATTTTAGTTAAGCAAATATGCACATATATAGCTGTGTCATACTTTAAGTTTTCCTATAATTTTTCCAAATGGAATAATACAAATACACCAAATAAAACAGAGGCTTATTTAAAATAATTTGTCAATGTTAGGGTATCCAGGCACTCTAAATTCTTCTTCAATTGTTTGCAAGGAAAATCAAGTAACAGTCATTAAGCTCTAAAATATGTCAACTACTTTATACCTTAACCTCTATTTTACAATTCCTGATCCTTCTGGAGAATGTGGAAAATATTTTCTCCTGAAAACACCCCTGACAGTTATTTGTAGGGTATCCTTAGGGATGTCTCATGTGTTAACCAATAAGTTCTATCTGCTTCCCTGTGACGCTGACCATTCATTTTTTCTTTTTCTAGCTCTGCTTGCTCCAGGCCTTCTTCAGTGATATGACCAAAGTTGAGGAATGTCCTCTCACTTTTGGTGTGTGTGTGTGGCTCATACCTACTACTGACAACTGCGAATACCTCCCTTGTATATGGTGAACACCTTACGTCCGGTGCTTTGCCAGTGTCCTAAATTCTCATTGGCTATATCCCTTGATGGTCTATGGAGTACCATGTTCCCTGTTCTGGGGAGCAGGGTGGAGAAGGCCTGGATGTACTTCTTAGCTTGTACTTCGCTTTGCCACCTGGGTCATCATGACTTGCCTACCTTTTTCTGTGTTTCTCATAGAGTCTTAGTAAAAACAACACTTTCTATTTCTGCTGCACCTCTCCTCCACTTTACCTCCTATGTTTGTATCTGGTTCTGGAAATTAGTCATGAATATGGGGTCCTTGCTATCTCATCAATGTACCTCTCATCCAGTATGAGAACTGTGTACCAAAATACCTCCCTCTTCTTCTAGACATCCCAATATGTCTTTGAGTTCCAAGATCAACCCCTTTTTTCCAAGTCTTATGTTTCACTTTTATTCCATTTTATCATATTACTCCCATTTTACAAATTAGAAGGCTGAAGCACATGGAAAGTTAAGTAATTTGTTTGATGTAAGTCGCACAGAGTAATGAAGTAAGGGTTCTAATCTAAATCTGAGTCCAGAGACCAGTGATCTTCCAACTATAGCTTACTGGCTGCAAGAGATACAAAAACAAAAAGGCAAGGCCCCTCCCTTAAGGAATTCACAGCCTAAAGCAGAGTCTACAATCTGTAAGTTAGCTCATTTACACATTTTGACAATGGCCTTTGGCTGATGGGATTAACAATGGGACAATGAAAATTTCAGTAGTTCCAGTTCTGGGTAGCATTTTTGTCTGGGTAAGCTTTTGCTGTCCTTTGGAAAAGTGGTTTCCAGATTAGGATACACATTAGAAATCCCTGTTAAAAATACATATGCAAGAACCTTATCTCAGACCTATCAAGTCAGAACTTTCAGGTGCAGGACCCAGGAATCTTTACTTAACAGGCTCCTCAGGTGAGTCTTATGCCACCAGCTCACATTGCTCTTAAAATTGATATTTGGGACTTGCTCTCTTAGACACTGTTCCAGAGGAAACTGTCCAGAGACCACTGACTTAGAGGAGGAGACACAGAAGGAACTAAAGCGAAGGAGATTAGAACCAGGAGTTGAGTGAGTCAAGAGAAAAGGCTTAGAAACCTGAGCTATGTGATGAAATATTAGACTCCATTGTGAACACCTGAACTAAAAAGCAGACTAGAGAGACTGGGCTCTGCCCAGACCCTTCGGCAGCATCTGCTGGTAGCCCTGTCGCTGGGGACTTAAAAACAGGAGTAGTGGATGGTTTCTGTGCAGACAATTTCAACTTTCAATAGGCTGGGTTGTTTTAAATGATATAAATTAGCAAGCAACAGGCAAGCATCCAGTGCTTCTAAGTTGGCTTCTAAGTTCAGTGAGCCATTCTGCTTTAGTCTGCCTCCTGCAGCTGAACTCACGGTGAGTATCTGGGGAGTCAGGGATGTCATTGCTTTGTAGAGAGGGTCTGCTTTCTGATACATCTGCCTGCAGGGCATCTGGAAAGGCTGCTTTCATCTTGCTGTGTTTGTTTCTGTCATCCCAGAGGAAAACACAGTTCTCTGAGGGACGAGTAATCATCATCTCAGGTGGTTCATTGCTCTGAAATACAGATTTTTGTCAGATGCATCAACCTAACTAAGAGATTGCTGGATGACTATTTTGGAGGCAACATGCACAGCTGGGCTTCCAGAGTAGTAAGGGTCCAGCTAATAAGAATTTATAGAGATTGTTTCTTGACTTTCAAAACACTTTTCCTGCGATTTAGTGCACGGGAGTAGGGGGAGGTAAGCTGGGGGCGGTATTTCTACCTGGACTGAGAGATGAAGTGCCAGTGATGACAAAAGCAACAGGCTCCTAAAGAAAACAAGAGTTTTGTTTCTTGATTAGTAATTTTAATCTGCATTGGTGACCTTCTGTTTTTTTATTCTTTGTTTTCTGCCCCTCTTTTTGGCGCTCTACCAGTTTTTGACTTCTCTTTCTTCTAATAGGCCACTGTCTCCCAGTGATGTAGACTTGATCCCTTTTACTGTGGTCAGGGACCTCCAGACTCCATAACATTGCTTTCATGTTCAGCCTCCAATAAGGCTGTCTCCATATTGCTAAGGGCTCCCTCCCCAACCACTTCAAGGCGAATCCTGTGGAAGGCAGCAAGGTTAATGCTGCTTGTTCTCCACTGCTTTGTATCCTTTGTTTCCTGAATACCCTGCAGTGTGAGGAGTCCTGGCTTCCAGTGCAAAAAAGTGGGGAAGCTGGGAAAATATATTCAATCGGATCTTGAAGCATCTCCCATCTTCAGAAGTAGAATATAAACAGTCAAGTTGGCTTCTATTCTTTCTTATTCATCGTCTCTCAGAAATTTTACTCAATTTTTTTTCTTTTATGCATATCATTTATTCTTTCATGTATTCATCAAATATTTATTAAGCAGCCACTTGCTTAGTAAATATGTGTCAGGCCCTATTCTAAGAACTGAAGAACACAGTGTTGAACAGGGTAGAATTTCTGTCCTTGAGGAATTTACAATCTGGAATAGTGCTATCAAATAGAATATTCTCCAATGGCAGAAATGTTCCGTATCTACATTGTTCAATATAGTAGCCACTAGTTACATGTGATTATTGAGCAATTAAATTGTGGTTAGTGTGGCTGAGGAACTAGATTTTTGTTTTATTTATTTTTAATTAATTACATTTAATTAGCTATGTATGGCTAGTGACTACTGTATTTGTATAGAGCAGAAAATGGATAGTCAGATAAAGAAGCAGACTTTCACAATATCATATGTTAAGTTTGTAATGAGATAGTTGTTTAGACTAGTAAATAGATCAGGGTTAAAGGCTTTGATTGAATCAGATTATGAAAGGTGCCAAACACAAAGGACCGTCCAAGTCTAACACTTACAGATTCAGCTGGTAAAGAAATAATGAACTAATTTTAGATTCAGCCAGATTATTACTTATATACATAGTGAAGAAAAGAGAAGCTAAAGATGTCAGCCCTATGAGTCCTTATCCCACACACCAAAAGGATGGCACTGAAACAAAAGGGGTCAGATGGCTTCAGCAAGAGTTGTGATACACCCTATTGCTGGCCAGTCAATTCCAGACTGCAGCTAAATGGCTATAGAGCTGCAGTTCTGCCCTACGGAAGCATAGGGGTTAAGTTGGAAGTCTCATGTTCCTCTGGAACCTGGGAGTTATATCAGAAAACCGCCTCATGGCAGCATCCCACAAGATAGAGGCAGATGAGAAAACAACCTCGCGAAGCCTTCTCTGAAGATTTCCTCCCTTGCCATGTTCCTAGGAGGATCACAGGGCATTCCACCCAGATTTAGGTCATATGGCAGTCCAAGCTTTGCCTGTGCATCCCATGTAGACACATGTAGAGTCTCTAGGGCTCCATGGTAGAGCCACTCCCTTGGAAATGGTCTTAAGTGCTATGCCAAAGGATTTAGATTCTACCCTTAAATGAATCCGGGAGCTACTGGAAGTTTAAAGTAGAAGAGTAATTTGACTTTTGAGTTTTGCAGAGATCAGTCTGACAATATTGTAGAGACTAAAAAAAAAAACTGTAAAAAGGAAGAAAGATTTGGGAAAAAGGACGAGAGTTTGTGGGAATGAAGAGTGTACAGTTAAAATCATTTATGAACACATGGTATGTGAAGGGCTCTGTATACAGTAAAGGTGACAAATAAATCAAACAGAATTCTGCCCTCAAGAAAATTTCAGATTAATAGGAGAGAGAAAACACAACATAAATGATTATAAGGCTCAATATATTAAGTGCTTTGAGAGGCATGCTGGAGGGCCCAGAGGAAGGAGAGACCTCTTCAGATGGGTGTCCCTTATACAGTAGGTAGTTTATTGATGATTATGACAATGAAGTGTTGGACAGGAGAAGCCTTAAGGATCTTATAAATTAACACTCTGGAATCTATGAGGAGCTAGCTCTGAGAAGCAATAAGCCTTATCAACTAACAAGGGTATGAATCCATGTATATGGATTAGTTGGGATCCAACTGAGAATAAGGTAATACAAATGTAATAGAAAAGTAGGAAAAAGTCATATAGATTAAGCATGGGGAGAGATGGCAAGGAGGTTTGAAGGCTTTGGATTTTGAGGCCAGCCAGTGTCAACTTGTTCTTTTTTTATTTTTTTTATGAGACAGCGTCTTGCTCTGTCACCCAGGCTGGAGTGTAGTGGCGTGATCTTGGCTCACTGCAACCTCCACCTCCCGGGTTCAAGTGATTCTTCTGCCTCAGCCTCCTGAGTAGCTGGGACTACAGGTGCACGCCACCACACCCGGCTAATTTTTGTATTTTTAGAAGAGATGAGGTTTCACCATATTGTCCAGGCTGGTCTCGAACTCCAGACCTCGTGATTTGCCTGCCTCGGCCTCTAAAAGTGCTGGGATTACAGGCATGAGCCACCGCGCCCGGCTCAACTCATTCTTTATCATTGGACATATTAATAGATGGGTTCTCACTTCCCACTTCTCATCCCCTCATTTTGGCATTTCCACTTTACTTTGTCATCCTTCTTCTACCTAAAGGAGTCCAGTTGATATCCATTGCCTTAAAAAAAGGTAGCACATCAGAAAGAGGGAAAAAAATCTTCTTTTGGTTTTTGAGTTATAAAAATCCTAATGGCTGATATGCACTCCAGAAGTCATAAATGAGTATGTTTTGTTTGGTTCATATCTTGTTTTGTTGCCCACTGAATACCTTTAGACTGGGCTAAAGACTAGGTTGTCTTTAGTTCTTTACAGTTCTGTATCTCATTTATTCCTGGCCCTTATCTATAAATTTATATTACCTGCTTGGGTCCCCATGGGTATCTGAATTTGGAGCCTCTGGCATACATTGTACAGCAGGTTCAGAAGAATGCACAATAATATATAAGCTTCCCGAGTCTTTCAGCATTATAGAAGTCACAGAAAACTTACTTGGATTCCAAGTAATTTCTATTTTGAGTCTTTGTTCCTCCAGGTGGCAGAGATATAATCTTAGAACAAATACTTAAAACGGAATTTACTTGGAATCTAGAAAAATAGAAAAAAATACATTTGTGCACGCATGAGTTTGTGGGCTATAATTCTACTATTTCACTATCTGTCCTGCCAAAGTATGCAACAGGGTGTATACTTAACTAAAAGGTTCAGAGTCAGGAAAAATGAAGATGAAATTAAAAATAAAGTATTGAGAAAGAAAAAAAGGAGGGGTAGGTTAAGAGAAGAGTGAGTTTTCATATTTCTACTCTCATTTGGGGAAAATAGTTAAGGTTTATGTGTTGGGTCACCTGGTATGAGTTAAGATTCTTGCTTCACCATTGACTACATAGGCAAACTTGGCTAAATCATTTAACTCACTGAGCTCTATTTCCTAATTTGTAATGTAAGCATAGTAATATGTTTTTATTCCTACAGGGTTGTCATTCCCACAGGGAATAATGACCTTGAAAGAGCCTTGAAAAGTGAAAAAGCTTTACTATGGGAATTAATATTATCCAGTAGCTAGCTTTTAGTAAATGCTTAATAATTGCTGTTAGAGAAAAATAAATTAAGGGGAGAATAGAATTGCCCAGTCTCAAGTATGTCTTTATCAGCAACGTGAGAAAAGACTGATACAGACTGTATGTCTCGTGGCTGTTTAATGTGCATGCTCGGAGTCCTAAAGACAGTCACTGTCCTAACATACAATTCAACAAGTGATTCAAGGACAGAAACATGATGGAATCATTGTGTTTCTTACAGACTGAAAATCAGGTGTCTACAAACAAATACCCCAGCTTTAAGGAGAATTGATAGTAGTGGGCTGAGAATAAAAAAGTACCCACACTCATGGGAAAAGACTGATTTTTCTGTAGCTAAACTAATAAATCCTACAACTGCTCTCCTTAGTTTACAGTGTGCTGATGCTATCAATTCACCAGAAAGGAATCTATACACGAAAATGTATAATATGTTTTTTCAGTTTAGATAACAAGATCATTTTTTCCGGGTTAGATATATTTCTGTTGGTAAAGGTTAAGTGGGATTATATTGAAAGATCTCTTTTTGGGACTAGGGGCCTCAAAATTTGGAGATTTCTGTACCTTGACATTAGTAGCCTTCACTAATATAGAGTAGCAGAGACAACACAGAGAGGTGGTGAGTGATGTGGGATACCAGACCTTCATATAACAGGGTGAGATTGATTCCATCACATAGTCTAGGGGCATAGCCAGCCTGGTTTTAGGAAGGAGTTTGATGCTGGGATTTTCTCTGTTGGTAGACTCTCAGATATGACCAAAAGGAAACCCCAGACTGTTGGGATATCCTAGAGGAATTTCTCACTCAGTAGAACTTTTTAGAAAAAGTAAAAGTCATATGCTTTCCCAAAGTTTGAATCATAGTCTGTTGGCCAGTAAAAAAAAAGCATGCAACTAAGTCAGGAAACTTGGCACCTTTTCTCTCTTGACCATGATATGACCTTACAGAAGTCAATCATCCCGAGTTTGTGAAATGCAAAGTTGAACTAGTTGACTCTTTGATTGCAAGTAATAGTTATCAACTCAAGCTAATGTAAACAAAGGGATTCTATTATAAGGATGCCAGAGTGTCTCAAAGAACTCAAGTACAGTTGACCTTCAGGAGTGGTTGGAACCAGGAATTTGAAATCTAGTAAGATTACTTTCTCTGCCTTTCATCTTTATATCTACTTTATTCATTCATAACTTCTCTCTCCCCCTCTCTCCTTCCCCCTCTCCTGGTCCCCATCTCCCCCTCCCCCTCCCCCTGCCCCTCCCCATCTCCCCCTCCTCCTCCCCATGTCTCCCTCCCATTCCCCTTCCCCCTCCCCCTCCCACTCTCCCCCTCCCCATCTCCCCCTCCTCCTCTCCCTGTCCCCGTCTCCCCCGTTCCCCCCCTCTCCCCGTCCCCTTCCTCTTCCCCCTCCCCTTCCCTCTTCCCCTCACCATCCCCCCTCCCCCTCCCCATCTCTCCCTCCCCCTCCCCTTCCCCCCCTTCCCCTCCTCTCCCTCTCCCCCTCCCCTCAAACTCCCACATCTTTTCCCTAAGACTGATTTTCTGGGATTATCTGGATACAGCTTCAGCTTCTGAATTTTATGGATTCAATTACATGTGAGTCCAGGGCCAGGGTAAGGAAAGAGAGGTTCAAGGGTGCAAAATATCAGGAAGACCTTAGAGGCTTGGTCTCTCAGTGACATGAAAGTAAACTTTGGTCCTCTAGGTGCCTCTCTTGCCTCACCTTAGTCTTGACCCTGAGAGAGTGACTATTGATCTCTGGGTCTCAATTCTAAGCTAACAAGGTGAAAACATCATTGCCACATCTTGAATCTGAAATTCAGCTCTAATCCAATCAGCAATGGCACCAGGGCTGATGCCACAAGGTACATACATAGCTCTTGAGTGATCATAGCTCTGGGCTTTAGGAGACTATTCTCAGATAAAAAGGAACTACAAGTTGGGAAGAAAGCCTCAAATCTTCAATCACACATGTACTATATAATATTTATTTCCATTACATTTTTGGTGCTATTTTATTCTGCCCCTTATAAACCTTATAACTCCTAAACATGTACATTGTATAATTTATTATATCAATGTTGAAAGGATCCCTAAAGTTTTCATACACAGTTACTACCCTTGAGAGGCTCATTTGGGAGGATAAAACTAGATACAGGATGCATGCTGAAGAGTGGTTATAGTAAGCAATTAAAATAATTAACTATAAAAATAAAAGCTGTATTGGGCTAATGCATTGTACAGAAGTTTAGAGAAGGAGAATAATAGCAAGGAGAGGAAGAATCAATGATGTCTTCTTAAAGATATCTTTTTGGGGGACAAAGAGGACAGCAGATACAGAGGCTTACAGGAAGGAATCATATCAGAAAATATTAATACCTACAGAACATTGAAATGTTGCAGGGGACACCAGACACTCTTTTTAATATTACATGTCCCATCTCCCTAACATGAATGAAAGACTCATGAAGTTGGAAATGATGCCACATTCTGTCAAGAACTTTCCCAATATTGAGAAAATATATTCATAATCATTCTATTTATTCAAAATTAATGTATTGACCATGAATTTAAGTGTGTGTAAAATGGTCAGTAGTGCTGTTTGTTAATGAGGTTATCAGGTGGGAGTGTGTACTTTGCAGAAAATCACTTTTTAAAAGTAAATGCAAAAAGACGTTTTCCCCTTGATCCTCTTCTACCTCTGATGACTAATCTCTTATCTACAGTAGAGAATTGGGCATTGCTGTAGTTGGGATGTTTGACCCCTCCAAATCTCACGTTGAATTTGATCCCTACTCTTGGAGGTGAGGCCTCTTGGGAGGTATTTGGGTCATGGGGGCAAATCTCTCCTGAATGTTTTGTTGAGGTCCTTGTGGTAATGAGTGCATTCTCCCACTCTTAGTTCCTCTGAGAGCTGGTTGTTAGCAAGAGCCTGGCATCTTCCTGCCCTCTTTCTCTTGCTTTCTCTCCTCTCATGTGATGGCTGTACATGACGGCTCCCCTTCTCCTTCTACCATGAGTGGAAGCCGCCTGAAGCCCACATCAAGAGCAGATGCTGGAGCCATGCTTCTTGTACAGCCTGCAGAATCATAAGCCCCAAGTAAACCTCTTTTCTTTATAAATTACCCAGCCTCAAGTATTCCCTGATAGCATACACAACAAACTAAGACAGGCATCAATTGCTCTTTTCCTCCACCTGCACTACTGGAGCCTATTTATTTCCACAGAAGTTTTTCTGCACCCAAATACAAACCCCAAAGCCTTTATTTTGAATTATCCCCTAAATAAAATTAAGGACCCCTTGGAGAGTCAAGCTTTTAGGGGGACACCTATTACTGCTATTTCTGTGAAGATATTGTTGAAAAATGGTTCAGATGTATATGCCAAAGTCTCATGTGAGAAATATCTTTTAGAGCTAAAGATCTTTTTGGGAAGGGCCTCACTTTTTCCTTTCCCCTAAGGAACTGATAATTTTTTCTATGAGAATAGTTAGAACAACATAACTGACCAGGCAGCCCTTTTTCCTTTGGCTATCAGTAGATTGGCACCAAACTTACAACCCACAAAATGCCCTTCTTTTCATGTTCCAGGTTTTCTGTGATAAATACTTGTAATCCTAGTCCATATTTTCCCAAATCTTATTTTATTTAATTTTACTCTTTAACTGTTTTACTCTTTGTCAGTAAACAGATTCAAATCTTTTGTGGAATGGGGTACGGAGGAAAAAAGAAAGGAAGGAAGGGAGGGAGGGAAGAAGACCCCATTTTCCTTATAATGGAGCAGGGTACAAAGTGGCCAATCAAATGTATATGGTAGTCTCTTTACTACAAACAACATTGGCATTCATAACTCTATTAGAAAAGCATAATAGCAAAGACAAGAGCATGAAGTTTTATTTTCCCTTAAAAAGAACAAACAATGGAAAATCTGCAAAGAGCTAGAGGTCTAACAATGGCAGGTAGGGATGACAGACTAAAAGGAAAATAACAACGACAATAACAGAGAGTGTGTTTATGTAAGTCTGTGCCCATAGCCATACCCAACAGGTGTGGGGGCTGAAAAGCAGTGTTGTTTCAGAGCCCTTTGTCATGTATTATCCCCCTTGGCTCCTAATACCTTACAAAGATAGGTCATACGGGTATTATTTCAGCTGAAGAATTAAACCTTAATGTACTGAAAACCACAAAACTAAGATTTACTAGTGTTATAATGGATAAGACAGAAGGCTGTGGTGTCAGATATAGCTTGAATTCCCACTTCTACTATCAACTACTTGTGAGACTTGGAGCATGCCATATAACCCGTTTCCTCATCTGTAAAATGAGAACAATGAGTACTTTCTGCATGTCTCTCTCTCCCTCCTCCAAAAGTTCTGCACATTTTTCACTAAGTTCCCAGAAGTTTAATTTGGTCAGACCTAATATAAACCTTGCCTTGACCTTTTCTTGGAATTTAAATCTCCAACTTAAAGTCTTCTCTCCCACTACAGAGGGTGAAGCACCACTTGGTCCCTTGCCAGTTGCCAATGTTCCAGCTGTCAGCCACCCCAGCAAGTGCCCTTGCAGATGATCCAGTGCATATCCAAGGGACAGGCCTGCCCCCATCCCAGGTGGTAACTCTGAAGGCCTCGCTGAAGGACGAGAAGAGGAATCTATTCTGATCCATGGCCTTCTACAGGGCTAATGAGGCTGGTGAGGTGGACCTGGAGCAGGCTCCCGCATTTGGAGGTGACTACATGGGGGTACATCCAATGGGCCTCTTTTGGTCTCTGAAGCCTGAGAGGCCTTTCCGGAGGCTGCTCAAGCAGGATGTGATGAACAGCCCCTTTTGGGTCAGTCTGGACCTATATGACTCCATTTGTTTTCAAGATTCAGCCACTGTTCAGCCCAAGGCCAGCCAGACCGTGCAGCACTGGTTCTCAGGCCCTGGGGTGCAGAGGCAGCAGATCCAAGAAGGTCCAGTGCAAGGAGCCCTTTTTCTCCCTCCAGGTGAAACTAATCTTTTGTGATACAGAAACCACTGTTAATGTGTATTAGTTCATTTTCATGCTGCTGATAAAGGCATACCCGAAAGCGGGAACAAAAAGAGATTTAATTGGACTTACAGTTCCACATGGCTAGGGAGGTCTCATAATCATGGCGGAGGGTGAAAGGCACTTCTTACATGGCAGCAACAAGACAGAATGAGGAAGAAGCAAAAGCAGAAACCCCTGATAAAACCATCAGATCTCGTGAGACTTACTATCATGAGAATAGCACCGGAAAGATCAGCCGCTATGACTCAATTACCTTGCCCTGGGTCCCTCCCAATCGTATCTCCCAGAGTTCCTTCTTTGACTCTGGGAATTCTGGGAGATACGATTCAAGTTGAGGTTTGGCTGGGGACACAGCCAAACCATATCATAATGGAAATAAAAACAATAACAAATTGTATCAAATTATTAGAGAACCCGTATTTCCCATAGTTTTTTTTTTTTTTTTTTTTTTTTTTTTTTTTTTTTTGAGATGGAATCTCGCTCTATCGCCCAGGCTGGAGTGCAGTGGCGCGATCTCAGCTCACTGCAAGCTCCGCCTCCCGGGCTCACGCCATTCTCCTGCCTCAGCCTCTCTAGTAGCTGGGACTACAGGCACCCGCCACGACGCCCGGCTAATTTTTTGTATTTTTTAGTAGAGACGGGGTTTCACCGTGTTAGCCAGGATGGTCTCGATCTCCTGACCTTGTGATCCGCCCGCCTTGGCCTCCCAAAGTGCTGGGATGATAGGCGTGAGCCACCGCCCCTGGCCTCCCATAAAGTTTTAAAACTAATGTGCCAGTGTGTGTGTGTGTGTGTGTGTGTGTGTGTGTGTGTGTGTAATTTTGCTCACCTTGCATTTTCACGGCTATTTGACCTTTTTTTCGCTCTTTCTGATCCCATTCTCTTCTCTCTTTGCACTCGCAGGGGAAGGCCCTTTCCCAGGAGTCATTGATTTGTTTGGGGGCATTGGGAGCCTAGTAGAATTTCGGGCCAGTCTTTTGGCTTCCCATGGTTTTGCAGTGCTGGCATTAGCATATTTTGCCTACAAAGACTTGCCTGACAAACTGCAGGAGGTGGACTTGGAATATTTTGAGGAAGCTGCCAACTTGCTACTAGCTCATCCCAAGGTATTTAAAATACTTTCCATTTTACCTTGGACAACTACAAAAAAACAAAATCACCAGTGTCTGCTCTGTTTTACCAATTTGCACAGACTTGGACACAGCAGAGCTGACAGTTAAATGGGGATGGTAATAACTGCCTTGAAAGATTGTTGAGTTGATTTGTGATCAGTTTTGTGCTTATTGGCACATAGAAGACAATAAATAAATGGTGGACATAATGTGATTATTTTTTAGTGGAAAAAAACCAAGATGCCTTTCATTTGAAGTGTTTGTAACTTATTCATAAGGGTCTCTTCAATGCTTTACTGTCACTCACCTCAAATCAGGAATTCTCTGATTTGACATGTTTTGAAACTTCAGTGATTATCTCTGCAGGGGGATAATGCTGTAGTAAGTCACACTGAAGAGTCCTGAAACTAAGATCAGGACAAAGATACAAGATCAGGTCGGGAGTATCGGCAAAACTGACTTGACTGCATTACCTGACTAGCTGAATTAGCTTTTTAGTTAGTTTCAGAGCTAGGGGCCAAGTGAAGCATAGAGTAAGTGTCCAATGCCAAGAGCCAGGCTAGAGAAAGGAATCTGAAAAGGAAGGGTCATTTTAGCACTCTTTGTCAAGTGTGTCCTTCTACTATTGAAAATGTAGTTCATGGACCAGTGGCCACAGCATCACCTGGAAGCCTTCAGAAATGCAGCATCTCATTTTCCATCCCTGAAACAGCAAACTGCATATTAACAAGATCCTCAGGTGATTCTTATGCACATTAATGATTGAGAAGGACTGGAATAGTAACATTAACCTAGCTTCTTCTAAGAGGTAAATATTAGTTGAACTAGGATCTATTCTCTTGAGGAGTTCCAAAGTACTGATATTTGTGCTAATGATTAAAAATAGAGGCCGGGCGCGGTGGCTCATGCCTGTAATCCCAGCACTTTGGGAGGCTGAGGTGGGCTGATCACAAGTTCAGGAGTTCGAGACCAGCCTGGCCAATATGGTGAAACCTTGTCTCTACTAAAAATACAAAAATTAGCCAGGCGTGGTGGCAGACGCCTGTAGTCCCAGCTACTCCGGAGGCTGAGGCAGGAGAATTGCTTGAACCCGGGAGGCAGAGGTTGCAGTGAGCCGAGATCGGGCCACCGCACTCCAGCCTGGGAGACAGAGCGAGACTCTGTCTCCAAAAAAAAAAAAAAGAAACCCAGAAATAGATATCACAATATCAAGTATCAGGGTTGGTATTCTACTAAGTTTAACTTACTGTTTTGCAGATCAAAATGTTCAAATGTCAGCCATTTCTTGTGGATCAACTTAATACTGGTAAAACAATACTGGCTTACATTTGATGACTGATATTTATTAGACTCTATGATAAACATTTTATATGCAGTCTCATGTAACATTCACAATAGCCTTATGAAGTACTATCAACAGCAACCTCATTTTTCAGATGAGAAAGCATATTTAAAGTAATGTGTCAAAACTACATAGGCAGTAAGTGACAGATACAATCTGATAAGGTCCTTGCTCCAAACCATTAAATTATCTTTGACTTCCTCAAATGTTTTATTCTTTTCCACCCCAACCCTGGAGAGCCTTGACTCTTCTCAAGGAGAGAGAGGATATGTTTCCTATTGGGACATTATCAACATCTTCATCTTTAGTGTTGAGAAAACATGTGTAATTTTTCTAAGCTTATTTGGGTCTTTTTAAAAGATTGCCTAAAAAGAATTAAATCCCAACTAAAATGTTTTCAAATTATTTTTTTTCCATTTCAGATTTAACTATTTGTGAAATTAATCTGAGGAAGAAAAGTCAACTGCAGATATTCAACTTAGATTTAGATTCAGGGGATAAGCTTCAATTTCCACCTTTGCCCCTTGATAATGTTGTGGCCTTAAGCAAATCTTTTAAGTTTCCTGAATCCAGTTTGGCTATTGGAAAGACCAGCTGAGATAATGTGTGTATAGCAGCTAGCATAGAGTAAACTCTGAAAAAAACCACTTTGTTATCTTTGCCCATCTATTTTCTTCCCTCTCTCCCCAAGTCTTCAACCAGTCACAAGTGTTTTAGGTTCTACTCCTGTCTTTCTCAAGGAGGACCTTCTTCGTCCTCCTTGAGATTGTTTTAGCCTACTAGTCAATTTCTGACTTCCAGTTACAGCCATCCTCCTTCACTCCCTTATTCATTAATCACACAGATGTTTCCCAATTTCCTTGGGGGACATTTTACAGTATCAGATTCTTGGGCCCACTCATACCTATGGGAACAGACACTTGAAAAATTGAGTCTCAGGAAGCTCAAATTAAAAAAAAAATCAGATGATTCTGATGACAGGAAGTGCTAGGGGCACAACTGTGAGCAAAATAAACAAACTAGGTCTTTATGTACCTGTCGTTGTCTGTCCAGAGTGCCCTTCCTTTCCCCCCTCATCTTTCAGACCTTTCATGTCCCCTCAGCTCCCTCAGTCTACCAGAGAACGAATGATCCTCCTCTATGAGCTACTACCTTTTCCTATTGGTACTACAATTCAATTATTTACTGAATCCAAGCCTTTTGTCTTCATACTCTCATTGCTTTCAGGATTAGCTGTTGAATTTATGGAGGTAATATATGGGCAAAACCTTTGTAGCTATAAAATGCTATTTAAATGTGAATTCCACTTACATAATATTTGAGAGAACCTGAAAAACACCCTTTTTTTCTGGCTAGAGACAAGAATTTTATTCTTCAGAAAGCTTACCTGGCTCTATTCTTGTAATGCCAAGCATCACTGGTGGGTTAGACTCTTTTTGCCCTTACAAAACTCTACTATTGATGAAGAGTGTTTATTTCTATTGTTTCACTTGATCCTCATAACAGCCTTGCAAGGTCGGTATCATCCCTACAAGACAATAAAGGTTAGTGAGAGTTAAGTGGGTAACATTCTCAGTCCCAGGAGCTGGTAAATCTGAGTGCCAAGACTCGACCTTCTTTGACTCTTTCCATCATACTTATTTATTGGCATGCCCGGGACAGCTCTTTCTCAGCTTGTGACCTGTAGCAGATTCCCTTTGTTTTGTGCTTCAGATCCAAAGGCCAGGAATTGGAGTGATCTCCGTGTGCAAAGGTGCCGAGATTGGCTTGGCTATGGCCTGCTACCTGAAGCAGGTGGTGGCCACCGTCTGCATTAACGGGCCCAACGCCAGCTTTGAAGTTCCACTCAGATACGGGGATCTGATTGTGACACCCATCAGCTCAGCTCAGCTCAGCTCAGGAGCGCCTGCAGGTCCACGTCTCTGGAGCTGTGCTCCTCTGCCACTGTAAGGGAGACTCCCCGAGATGGGCTCCATCAGCAGAGTGTGCTTCCTGTTGAAAAGGCTAGGGGTTGGATTCTTTTCATTGCTGGGGAGAGTGACGAATGCCTGGATAGCAAAGCGTACGCTGAGCAGGCCGTGGACCAGCTGCAGAGCCATGGCAGAAGCAGCGGGAGGATGCTGGTGCACCTCGGGGCAGGCCACCTCCTAGAACCGCCCTATGCTCCCTTGTGCTTCGCGTGCTGGAACCCGGGCATTTCCAGGCCTTTGCTCTGGGGAGGAGACGCTGCTGCTCATGCGGCAGCCCAGGAGCACGCCTTGGGGGAGATCCAGAAATTCTTCAGGCAACACCTCATTAAGACCAGAAGCAAACTCTGAGCAAAAGCTGAGTGATGATGGGGTGGACAGAGGCTGGAGTGCGGGTGGGAGGATAACGAGGATAAGGCAAGAGCACAGTGGGGAGAGGGGGCTCTCCTAGTTTGGCTGGATTCACAGTCATCTTGAATCAACTGGAAGGTGGTCAGACAAAAATCAAAGGACCGGGCACACATTCATGGGAAGTATTTCTCATAAATTGGTACGTGTTTCAAATTTTTGTAAATTGAATCCTAGTTTATACGAACTAAGGCACATTATTATTTCAAAATGGTGATACCCTTGCAAATTTTTTTATTGTTTGTTTTTGTTGTTGAGACAGAGGCACGTTCATTCACCCAGGCTGGAGTGCAGTGCCAGGATCATGGCTTACTGTAGCCTCAGACTGCCAGGCTTAAGCTATCCTCCCACCTCAGCCTACTGAGTCACCGGGATTACAGGTGTGTATCACCAAGCCCAGCTAATTTTTTTTGGAGAGACAGGATCTGGTTAGGCTGGCCTCAAGTAATCTTCTTGCCTCTGCCTCCCAAAGTTCTGAGATTAAAGGCATAAGCCACTACACCTGGCCCCTTGCAAACTGAATAATCTTCTATACCCCAGTTAGCAATACCCTGGGCCCAGGCATTGCCAATCTAGATAAATTCCCTAGAAACTCCAAGTTACTGACAGAAATACATTTTCTGTTTAAACGATTTTGAATTGCGTTTCTGACACTTGATATGAAAAGTTCTAAAACCACCATTAAGTATAATGCTTGCTATAGATTTCCAGTAGAGTCTTACTTTTTTTAGAATAGTGATGCTTCTATTTATTCCTAAAATATATATTTACCATTTTAATAAAATTGAATTTTATCAAATGCCTTTGTGGCATTTATTAATTAAATGAGTTAATATTTTTTAAAGCTGTTAGAACAGTGCCTGGCACACAGCAATTACTATTCTAGAGTTAGCCATTATTATTTTCATAAAGCTGTCCTTCTCCAGTCTGTTAGTGAGGTGAATTTCATTCATTAATGGACTAATTTTTCTTATGTATCTAATTTTAATAAATTAATTTCTCATATTGATTAATGTGGGTTTTAAAATTTGTTTTAGAGCCAATCTGGACATTTACATTTTTTCAGAATTGCACCCATGTTTTCTAGAACACATTTTTCTCTTACAATTTTTGATATGGCCCCTATTGTTTATATGCATGTTTTCTTTTTCTTCTCAGCCTGATTTGCCAAATATTTCTCTTTTATTTATCTTTTCCAGGGACAGTTTTTGGTTTATTTTTTGGTCAAATTGTTTTTTACTGATTCATTGATTTCTGATTTTTAGAAATAAATTATTTTCTGCTGCCGCTTTTGTATTTTCCTGGCTTTGTGATATGCAGTGCTCTCATTTCATTAATTTCTAAGAAAGTTCTGATTTACTTTTTGTTCTGTTTAAACCCAAGAGTGATTTTGCAAAAGTACAAAGTGTTATCCTGTAAATAATTTGCCATTACTAGGAGGAGGGGAGGAATGTCACTTTGCAATGAAGGAATCAGATTATTACCACCTGAACTCACTGCTTAAGTTTAGCATCTGTAAAAGGGGTCAGTGACATATGCTTCATGATGGGATGTAATGTGGAGGACCCAGCACTGCTTAGAACTACTCCTAATGACAGTTTCAGGAGTAGTGAAACTAATCCTAGGAGTAGGCTTGAAACTAATCAAGCCTTTAACAATTAATTAATAATTACTATGGTATCTGGAGAACAAGGTAAATGGCCCTACAAGTTAACAAATCCAGAGTATGGGTCATTCTACGGGACAACTGCCTTGTTTCTTCAACAAGTTAATTACGTGAAAAAAAGAAAGGCTAGAGTGGGCTGGGGCAATTAACTTCAGAACTAAAAGAGACTTGAGACATATCAACAAAATGTGATGTGTGGCCCTGGTTTGAATAAAGTAACTGTAAAAAGACATTTTGGGGATAATTCGAGAAATTTGAATATGGACTGGATATTAAATGATACTAAGGAATTGTTATTATCTTGTTAGGTGTAATAATACCATTGTGGTTATGTAAAAAAGTCACTATTTAGAGATGCGTTCTGACATATTTAGCATAATAGAGTCGTGACATCTGGTAATTTAAAATACTATGGAAATATGGCAAAATGTGAATAATTATTAAGTTTAGATGATGGGTGTAGTCAAGTTTGTTATATTATCTCTCTATTTTTATGTTTGCCCACAATTTTTCATAATAAAAAGTTAAAAAAAGAGATATATTCAAGATATTTACCTTTCTGTCCCCAAAGACAAGAATGTTAGTATGTACTACATCTTTTTCTCCCATGGAATTCCCCCATTAATTTCAGATTATTTTTAACAATAATAACTATGCTTTAATAATTTCCTTGCTCTTTCTTTTTATATGTACAGCAATAACTTTGGCATCCTTGCTCTGTCTTACAATTCATTTTTAAGAAATTCTTGGCTTTACTTTTATTTTGCCATTTGTTCAAAGTACAAGCTCACATAATTCCTTGAAAGATTCATATTCATTTGAATCTTAGTACATCTGAAAATGTCTATCTTTTGCTCTGACATGTTAATGATAATTTTTATAGTGAAAGAATTTGATATTAACAATTATTTTCCTTCAGCACTTTGGGGTTTTTTTCGGTGACAATTTTTGCCAATGAGAAGTCTGATTCTCCTTACTTTGTGGGATTTTTTCTCTCTCTCTCTGGAAGATTTTTACAATTTTCTCTTTGTTCTGAGATTTCATCAAGATATGACTAGGGTTAGGTTTATTAGTACTCTTTAAATTTATCTTGACTGGCACTATATGGCCTATTTCAAACTAAAAACTTGTTTCTATGTTATAGTTTGAATGTATGGTGTCCCTCCCAATTTCAGGTGTTGAAACTTAATGTTCAACACTTAATGTAATGTAATATACATCAAGTTCCAACACCTGAAAATGGGAGGGTTGCCATACAATGTAATAGTATTAACAGCTGAGGCCTTTTAGAAGCGATTAGGCCATGAGGCTTCCTCCCTCGTGGATGAGGTTAGGGTTCTTATAAAAAGAGGCTTCATGGAGCGTTTGGTCTTTTTGCTTTCTGCCACATAAAGACACGGTGTTCCTTCCCTTGAGGATTCAGCAACAAGGCACCATCTTGGAAACAGAGCAGTCCTCACCAGACAACTGAACCTGCTGGCACCTTGATTTTGGACTCCCAGCTTCTAGAACTGTGAGAAATACTTTTCTCTGTTTTATTAAGCACCCAGTCACATGTATTCTGTTATAGCAGCACAAACGAACTAAGACAATCTGCCTTCAGCTTTAGGACATTTGCTTCTGTTAATTATCTGACCACTTCACCTTTTCCATTTTTTCTGTTCCTTCCTTGGAACTCCTATTAAGAGGATTTTGGAGCTTCTGGATTCATTCTCCGTGAATATTAAAATTTTCTCTTACTTTTCTCTCTACTTTCTCCTCCTGCATCCTTGGAGAATTTTACAGTTTAACTGTTCAACCTACTAACTTGTTTTTAAGGTGTGTCTAATCTATTTAGCTAATCTCTTGGGTTTTATTTTGATCATTTTTAATTTTCATGTTCTATAATTGGATCTGATTCTTAAAATGTGTTCTTGTTTTATAGATATGTCATCCTTTCTTATTCCTCCTTTTACCCATGGCTTTCATGAATACATCCAGGTTCTATTGTGGGTGTTGCCATTATATTTAAAAAACAAAATGAACTGGAGTTCCCTCATTGGGATCAGCACCACCCAGGTCTTACTTTTCAGGGATCTGATTTCAGCATAATGAAATGTGGTTTTTTTTTTTCAGCTTTCTTCTTTGCAAGGTTCTGCTGGAATCTTGGCTCCCGGGTCTGCCTTCTAGGCTTGACTTAATTTTGCCAAATGTACAGAAATTAGTTTTCAAGGTTGTCACACTTAAATCCCTCAAATGATGAATTAATTCCACAAGTGGTGACTGGTTAGTTATCCCTAGGTATGGACCTCATTGGGCCCAGGCCCTGAACCAGAGAAACCTTCACCAGACAATGGGCTGCTGTGGTGGAGCTGCACCTGCTCACCCGCACACTTAAACCCCATGGCTGCTGAAGAGCAAAAAATGCCAAGATGAGAAAACACCTGACTGCACCATCCCTACAAAGACAGAAAGAAACTTTTGGCCGCCAAGAGGGGGAATAAAAAGGGGACATATTTTGTATAGAAATACATATAAGAAGTCTGTGTGACTTTAGTGAGTCTGGATTTATCCAATCCTGAAATACTAAAAAACATCGCTTGAAGTTGAAAAAAACTTTTGGCCTTATAGGACAATTCAACAGAGAAATTACTTTGTATAACAGCATTAAACATCATCCCAAAGGAAGAGTTGTTCTCTGTTCCAAAGAACATGAAGTAAATTGATAGATGGATATTCCATTAAGATTAATAGGGAAATGTAAGCACATCTTCCTTTTAAAGAGAAAGAGAATGCTTTTGAGGAAAAGAGCTTTACCCTCAGCCTCCCCTCCATTGATCACATGGTTTTACTTGGCTTGATAGGAAAGCCACAAAATGTAACTTTTTATAGATGCTGACACACAGGATACCAAAATGACAAGCCAGGATGAGGACAGAGGCACTAGTTTGGCGAGGTGCAAAAGTTAATTTTCCTGGCAGAGTCATTTCTAGTGTTAGAAGTGTGTGTGGTGTTACCTGGGTTTCCATGAGAAGTAAAACTGTTATGGGTCAATGGGCTAGAGAGTAAATCCAAATTCAATTTATTTTCCTTTCCAGCTTTTCATCTGTCACCAGGCTCCTGTGAGTTGGGGGAATCAGATCTGGAAAAGTGTTCTCTAGGAAGAAAGTGTTTATTGAAAGCTATGATCCCACCACATACAATTGGGTCTCAAACTCTGTTGAGTCTGCTTCCTAGATATTTTTCATATCTTTCCAATGCATGTTCTCTTTACCATTACTGCCACTACCCTACATCAATCATAATCATGTTTAGTCCAACACAATACCCTCTTACACTTTCTACACACAGATGTAGCCCAGAGGGATCCTTTAAAAATACAAATCTAACTATGCCATTCTCCTGTTTACTGAGGGCTTCCTGTCCACTGAGGGCTTCTTACCATTTTAGGATAAATTCAAAGTCCATAACAAGTCCTCCAAGATCTCTGATCTTCAGTATCATTAAATATCTTTTTCCCCTTTACTCACCAGCCAGCCTTCAGTTCTTCACATGTATAAAGCTCTTTCCTGCCTCAGGGCTTTTGTATGTGCTGTTCCCTTGGCCTGATATGACTTTCCTTAGGGTTTCTGTCTCATTACCTCCTTATTCTGAATAGCCCAATATGTATGTCACTTCTTTAGAGAAGCCTTAACTGATAACTCTATCTTCCCTGTCTAAATCAGGAGTCCCTTAAAAACATTTATATATTAAATATTTTGTGTTGGTTCTCCTCTTATCCCACTCTAAGCTTTGTAAGGGTAAGAAATAGGTCTGTTTATTTTGTTATGTATCTCCAGTTCTTCACATGATCTTAGCACATAATAGATGCTCATTAAGTACTTATTGAATAAGTGAATGCATCTATCAATTCTGGAACAATCTGGATCAAGAATGAGGATGTGAGCAAGGGATTTGGTATTTATTTAAAAATCCCTATAGTAGTATAGGGGATGATAGTAAATGACATGCTAGTTCTAGTACATGTCTTGAATTCAACAGAGCATGTTGTGGGAAGCCAGGGACCCCACACAGAGGGACCAGCTGGAACCACAGCAGAGGAACATAAGTTGTTAAGATTTCATGGACATTTATCAGTTCCAAAATAATACTTTTATAATTGCTTACGCCTGTAATCTCTTAATCCTGTTATCTTCATAAGCTGAGGATGTATGTCACCTCAGGACCACTGTCATAATTGTGTTAACTGTACAAATTGATTGTAAAACATGTGTTTAAACAATATGAAATCAGTGCACCTTGAAAAAGAACAGAACAACCATGATTTTTAGGGAACAAGGGAAGACAACCACAAGGTCTGACTACCTGTGGGGTCAGGCAAAAAGAGCCATATTTTTCTTCTTGCAGGGAGCCTATAAATGGACGCGCAAGAAGGAGACATATTGCAAAATTCTCTTCCAAGCAAGGAATATTAATATTAATACCCAGGGAAAGGAATGCATTCCTGGGGGGAGGTCAATAAATGGCCACTCTGGGAGTGTCTGTCTTGTGTGATTGAGATAAGGACTGAGATAAGCCCTGGTCTCCTGCAGTACCCTCAGGCTTACTAGGATGGGGAAAAACTCTGCCCTGGTAAATTTGTGGTCAGACCGGTTCTCTGCTCTCGAACCCTGTTTTCTGTTATTTAAGGTGTTTATCAAGACAATATGTGCACCGCTGAACATAGACCCTTATCAGTGGTTCTGTTTTTGCCCTTTGCCCTGTGATCTTTGTTGGACTCTTATCAGTATAGTTCTGCTTTTGCCCTTTGTCCTGTTCCCTCAGAAGCATGTGATCTTTGTTAGATCCTTAGTAGTAGTTCTGCTTTTTGCCCTTTGAAGCATGTGATCTTTATACCTACTCCCTGTTCTCACACCCCCTCCCCTTTTGAAACCCTTCATAAAAACTTGCTGGTTTTGAGGCTCAGGCAGGCATCACAGTCCTACTGATATGTGATGTCACCCCCAGCAGCCCAGCTGTAAAATTCCTCTTTTTATACTGTCTATCTTTATTTCTCAGCCTGCTGACACTTATGGAAAATAGAAAGAACCTATGTTGAAATTTTGGGGGTGGGTTCCTCCGATAAGAGCAGGAATAGTATAATGACCATAATGTAATCTACTCCTTAAAACAGACTTCGGCAATCTGGTATTTGATGTATTTACCTCTAAGACACTGAACACATTTGAGAGGTTCTGGCAGTTGCCTGTAATAGGGAGTCTAATCAGATTTTTGAAACAAAAATGCCACTTGTGGTTCTTTCACTCTTTATATCATCCCAGTGATTCCTACTCTCTTGCATCTTGAGGGTAGAATTTTGCCTGCTTGCATTCTCTGATTCAGTACAGAATACATATTCTCTCCTGAAGGGCTATATTTTCAGCTACATATAGCCCATCTGTCTATCACAGCCTGATAGGGAGATATTTAGAACTTACCAAAAGGGGCACCCACATGTTTAGCTGGTAAGTGCAGTTTCCTCACCATTGTTAGTCCTGCATCTAAATGTATTCATCTTTCAGCTATCTTCAGGCTCCGCTAAAATCCTCTTTATTTCCAAATGAGTCATAGTCTCCCTTTAGCCAAAGTAGGAATAAGTCTGGCATCTATTTGTGTATTACAGAAATTTTAACTAAGTGATTTTTCTGTGTCAGGTGATGTTCTTGGCACAGAATAAAAAAAAAAGACATCATAGATAAACACAGGGGCTAACAGCTTCATGAGGTTGCTTATGTCAACACACCTGGCTAGCCTTCCTTTGTTTCTCTCTCCTCCCCCACTTTCCTCTTCCAAGAAGAGTCAGACTTTCTCATGCACCTGTGGGCTTTCCTTAAAAAGAGAAAAGTTTACTGCAGAATTCATTCTCTGAGGCTACAGTCGCCACTTGTCCTATTTGGACAGACGGCTTTTTCCTTGGCAGGCAACCCACATGGAGGAGTCTCTAGCCTGAAGAATTTCGAATGACAGACTTGACAGATCAGTGTGAGGCCTGTGAAGTGTCTTGGGGCTAAATAGGAGGCAACACTAAAGTTGCCATGCCATAGTGGTAGGGAATCAGACTCAGGGATTCCAGGGGTAGGAGTCCAGAGATGCCCCTTAGCTCCAAGTGGACCAGAGTGCTGTCTCAGCATGGCTCAGTCATACACCATCTCCCAAGTCCAAGGCCAGGAAAATGGAGTCTGTGGCCAAAGCTCCTGGAATACTACAGATAGGTCCCTTTAAAATCAGAACTAGAAAGAAGAATAGAAGGATAACATGACTCACTCTACCAACTTATGTTCTTAGAAATGCTATCTGGTAGCCAGATACATTGTGACAAGAAATGGGTAATGTAAAAGCAATTTAGACTGCCAGCATTTTTCAGCATGTCTTATGATGAACAATAAAATAAAATGAATCCCTCATTGTTTCTTTTTAAAAAATCCTAAAATATGTTTAGAAAAAGAAAAATCATTCTGAAATTGCGTGACATTACAGGTAGGTAGCTTATACAGGATTGGAGAGCCCAGAGCTTACAAATTATTCCTTCTCACTGTTTCCTTTTCTTCCAGCAGCATCCCTTAAACCAGATAAGTAGGTTTATTACACTGAAAACCCATGAAAAGATGTGGACTCGGTTCAAAGGCATATCTTGATGTAGTGGAAAGAATGAAATTTGGAGTTGGGCAGACCTGGGTTTTGATATTACTGCTGACATATATCGTACTCCTTTGGCTTTGTCACAGCTTCACTGGGCTCAGTGTTTTGAAAACAGACAGATTATGTTTGTGAAATTTCTTTGGTTCCCTCTCCTAACTGTAGTCAGATATCACCCAGAAGATGTGTATGACATTGTATGTGCATAGGTAAGCTTAGGCCAGAATGAGATGGGGGATTATGAAAAATTTTAGCAGAGGTAACTTTTGTTCTTAAAAACTACTATCTAACTTTTTATTGACAACTCAGAAGTATCTATGGGTAGGCTGAAGGTAGAGGGAGCGTGCTAGGGATCCAGAATGTTTCTGAGTATCTTAATAATTTAAAGAATTTTATTTGCCTAAACACTCACATATTCTCACACACACCTGTGAAGCTATCCCTCAGTCATGCCCCTATTAGAATTTATTTCAGCAGACGTGGAACTGAACAGTGTAAACACTTGAGTTCACTTCATCATGACTCTTCAAATACCTTTGTCCTGTGGATAAAGCTTAAGACAAAAGACATGAGCCAGAATACATTTTGTGATAACTTTTTCTTCTCTTTAGAAAAAAAAAATATGTACAAAAAAAGCTGAGAAGAGCCAACATGGAAGTGTCAAGAAAACATTCTGATAGGTACGGACAAAAGAGCTCCTTCAATCAAAGGAGTTACATATTAGTTCTCACCATGCTAGAAAAATGAGATGCAGTTAAAATTCTAGAATAATTAAAAGCCACAAAGTGAAACTGTTGTTCTGGGGCCCTATGTTGTAGATTCTCTGATTCCTTTTCTGTAAAATAATACTGTGCAAACTGTAAAATATTCATTTTCATATAAAGTCCATATAATATGAGATACAAAACTGTTGAGTTGACAGGGGAGGCTGATGTTGGCTGCTTTTTGGAGAAAAGCTGACAGTGGCACCTGCCTGCCAGAAGACATTCCAGAAAGATCTTGAGTTATTTAGTAGAGGCCATTATCTAAGAAAGAATCATATAACCCCAATACCCTCCAAATCCAGAATTCTCTGACAATTGTTTGTATAACTAGGTGACTTTGTTAATATATCACTTTAAACTTTGAACGTAACAATTTGTTAAGAGATCAGAGTGCAACATTCTTTTTGAAGACAATTTTTTTTCTACAATTGACTTTGAGATTTATTATTAACCAACATTGTCCTTCCTGCAGCTCAAAAGTTTGCCTTTTATTAAAATTCAAAAATTCTGGAGGAGGCAGCAACTGTGGTAATAAAAGTTTAAAGTGAATTGTTATATTCTGTGTTTATAAAACTGAGAAAAGAAAATTTGTGTACAAATATCACAAAACAACGTCAACCATTGAATAAATGTGGTTCTTCAATGCACGCTTGAACAAGAAAATTTTGTTGGTTTTAAAATTCTGGCATAAATATATTAAAGCTGACCAAAAAAAAAAAAAAAAAATCAGGGCAAGCTACATCACTTCCTCATACAAAAAATGTACAAAACATTAGCTTCTAACTAGATAAACGTAATATTTGTCATCACAGTTTGACATTGAGCAACTGTGTGTTTTGAAGTATAGAATTGGAAGATGATTTTAAAAAACAGCTTGTGACACATCAGTCGTCTCAGGTAACTTCGGTCATGGACGCAGAGTGATTCTGTGGAGCAAACACAAGCAGATAAAATCTGAGATAGGGTTGCCTGACACGTGCACACTCACTTGTCCCTAAATATTCCCTTGTTTTGTCTCCTCAAGGGTACACAGGCTGTTCCGTCCCCCTAATATGCTTTTCCAAGGCCCCTGAATTTCCCTTACCTCTTTGGTTTTTTTATTTTATTTTTTGAGACGGAGTTTCACAATTGTTGCCCAGGCTGGAGTGCAATGGTGCAATCTCAGCTTACTGCAACCTCTCCCTCCTGGGTTCAAGCAATTCTCCTGCCTCAGCCTCCCAAGTAGCTGGGATTACAGGCATGCACCACCATGCCCGGCTAATTTTGTAGTTTTAGTAGAGACAGAGTTTCTCCATGTTGGTCAGGCTGGTATCGAACTCCCGACCTCAGGTGATCCACCCGCCCCAGCCTCCCAAAGTGCTGGGATTATAGGCATGAGCCACCATGCCTGGCCTCCTTACCTCTTTTTATTAAAACTTCCCTGATTTTTCATCCAAAATAGGATAACTTCTTCACCCAAACTTTTTTTTTTTTTTTTTTTTGAGACAGGGTTTACTCTGTCACCCAGGCTGGAGTACAGCCTTGATCTGCTGGGCTCAAGTGATCCTCCTATCTCAGCTTCCCGAGTAGGTAGGACACTGGGCACATGCCACCATGCCTGGTTAACTTTTAAATTTTTTGTAGAGACAGTGTCTCACTATGTTGCCCAGGCTGGTCTCGAACTCCTGGGCTCAACTGACCCTCCCACCTTGGCCTTCCGAAGTGCTGGGATTACAGGCACAAGCTACTGTGCCTAGCATCTTCACCTAAACTTATTCTCTATATAATTCTGTCTTATGCTTAAGTATTTTCTAATATAAACATTTAAGAGCCTCAAAGTAATTTAGCATCCCGCACATTTTTAATGTAATGTTTTAAATATGAAACAGCTCTAGTGTTTAAAACCTTTCTACATGTTTTATCATTAGAGTCACAAATTACATAGAAGTGAGTTTATTATTTCAAAATGTATAGAATTTTTGGGGGGTTTGTTTTTAGTTTAACTTTTTTGGCTAGAGAAAATGTGGCTTACATAATACAGATCCATTAAAATGTTTTTCTTGAGACTTGTATCATGGTCTTGTATACGATGCATTTTCATAATGTTTCATGTGTTTTGAGGAGGGTTATATATAATGCACATCAGATCAACCTTATTGATCATGTGTATCCTTACTATTTTTGTTTGCTTATTAATAAGAGAAAAGTATTACAATCTCCTGTGACTGAGGATTCATCCATTTTCCTTGTAATTATGTCAAATATTTTTGTCACTGGCTGGCTTTTAATTAGTTTTAACTATTAAGCTTTTATACATGTAATCAACTAGGTGAGGGTGGATATTTAGGTTCTTCTTTTGAGTAAAATGGGCTCTTCACTGTTTACAAGGTTATTTCTGAGTTGCAAAAATTCTCTCTCCATGTTTTCCCTGCCATTACTCCTCTATTCAATCTTGGCTGCCACAATCAGACAGAAAGCTCAAGGACACTTTTTTTCTTGCATTGGTAATATAATAGAAACTTTAGCAGCAGATAGTAACTGCTCCAGGTTCATCAAATGGAAGCATTCAATTAAAACAACAACAACAAAATATATATATATATAACCTCCCACTTCTTGCAAACCTAAAGTCTTGTCTTTTATTTGAACTTAAAACTCAATGCTTTGGGTCTATGAAATTATTAAATCTTTAACAAACTGTGGCTTTGATCTAATTATTATTATTGCTTTCCTGATTTCTGTCTTTTTTTTTTTTTTTTTTTTTTTTTTTTTTGAGATGAAGTCTTGCTGTTGTCCCCCAGGCTGGAGTGCAAAGGTACAATCTCGGCTCACTGCAACCCATGCCTCTTGGGTTCAAGCGATTGTGTTGCCTCAGCCTCCTGAGTAGCTGGGATTACAGGCGCCTGCCACCACGCCTGGCTAATTTTTGTATTTTTAGTAGAGACGGGGTTTCACCATGTTGGCCAGGCTGGTCTTGAACTCCTGACCTCAGGTGATATAAAATATATATTAAATATGTATAAGTATCTTTTAACTATATATGTATACATATATAAGTATATATACATACATAGATGAAGAAAGTAAGGCACCAGGTTTAAGTAATATGCCCAAGGTCACCAATCAAAATTAAATGATATGTATGTATGTAACATATATATATACTTATATATGTATATAAATATATATTAGTGTATATATGTATCTATATTTAATATATATTTTATATAATTATATATATTTTTCCCCCATGGGGAAGACATCTGGAGACTCTATACCACATCCAGAGTGAGTTAACACAGTTGTTTCATTTCTAATTTAATTTTTGTTATTAGAAACTGTGTGGACAAGAACTCAACTGAACAACACTCAGCTGATTGCTCATGTACATTGTGAGTGGGGCGGGGTGTAGAACATGGATAATTAAGAATTGGTTCCTTTGGGATCCCAACAACTTTATACAATCATAAAATAATGCTTTGAAAAACTTGACTATTTTTGTTTTATAATTGTTTACTTTTTGGTTTCTCTATGGTATTTGGGAAAGATTTTAGAAAATGCACCCCATCTCAATCAACTATACTAAGGGGAATCACAGAAGGTAGATATTCAAATTTGAGGTAATGTTTTAGAGAGGCCCAGAGCACTGTGGCTCTGAGGGCTGCATGTGGCAAAGGGGAAAGAATGTCTTGGGAGAAAGGGAAACGAGCGTGACTGATGCCCTCCCCATCCAGTCTTCTCCTTAAGATATTTTGAATAGTGGGATGGATTTCATGTGTACGAATGTGTGCTCTGAAGAGAGGTTCTAATCTCTGATCTGAAAAGGTCCACATGCTGGGAAGATGGTTCTGTTCCAAAAATTACAAAGATGCCGTTTCTAACAGAAACCATGGCTGTTGGAGTTGCAAGGGAAGTTCTTGCTCACAGGGGGGTATTTACTTTGGAAAAACTGTAGCTCAGGTTCAGTATACCAGCCCCCTGTAGCATGTTTTCATATTCAATGCTGGGAGTTGTGGATTTCAAAAAAGAATTTTCATTGAATGAAATCTCAGACTGTGTGGTGTAGGAGAACCAGCAGGGCCTCAGTATTGGATGGGTCTTCATTTAATTTTGACTGGGTGACCTTGGGCATATTACTTAAACCTGGTGCCTTACTTTCTTCATCTATAAAATAGGATATAATAAAACCAATACAGTATCATGAATATTAAATGAGGTGACTCTCAATAAATGCTAGTTCTCTTTTCTTGACCAACAAATAAAGGGTTTATCTTTCTAACTATCCATGTGGAAACATTTATTACTAAAAACAGATGCTTGGTGACTTGCATTTTTCACGACTGGTATGGATAGCATAATGTGAGAGGCAATACTTCTCTTTAGCTTTCTGTGGCTTCATTCTGGCTAGCCTGCAGAAGTCCTTCTCATAGTTTCTTATAAATCTCTACTTTCCGTGGATGTTCAAATAGTGATTATGGTCAAATTTGAGGTTCTTGGTTTTGGCTAAAGTGTCTACTTTAGGTTTTGGGACAAGTTTGTATTCATCCATCAATATGTATTTCACACCTAGTGGATGCCAGGATACATGGTAAATAAGACATGGTTTATAGGGTCCTCAAAAAGTCCCAAGTCTTTGGAGGAGGCAGACATGAGGGAACACTTGGCTTTACTTATGAGTGACAGTCACATGAGAGGGGTCTGGAGGGTCCTTTGGCCCAAGCCTGGTATTCGGGCAAGGCCTCAAATTGTATCCATATGAGGCGGCATCCATAATCACAAAGATCTGTTGACAGGTTTGAGAGAAGTTCAACTACTACCTGTAAACAATGAATTAATATCTATTTTAAGAATCCTTTATCTTGTGAATAGCATTTTTTGAAACCCTGTTTAGCACTTCATTTTTCAATTTAAGTAGAATCCCTCAAAATAGAGTCTGGACATCTCTAGGCCTGATCAACCATCAGTGGCCCTGAGAATTAAGAGAGAAAGAAGTCTAGGGAAGACATTAGACAGATGTCATGCTTGAGCAGTGCTGGGTGGAAGGATGAGGTGTGCAAAAGGGGTGTTCTTATATCAGGATATTCGGGGGATAGCATTTACAAGGACACAGAGACTGGTATGTCTATGGAACTCAGCAAATATTTTCTGTTTCTTTTTAAAATTCACTTGTTTTCATTTTACCACCCCAAAATAGAGACCCTCTCTGACTTCACTAAACACAGGATTGTAATTAGGGAAGAAAAGTTAGAGAGATTCTATTTCACTATTTCATTACAGGGTATCGCTATTTAGCTAATTTGATATTTAACCTGTAGCAACAGGCTGTATATAAATAAACCAGAAATATTTTTGTTAATATTTTATTTCTAGACCAAGTTAAAATGTTAGCCTTAATACAAATTAAGGGAAAACAAAACAATACTTGGTACTGTATTAATGGAGAACCTTAAATATTTTTCCTAAAATGGAGATACGGAGGTAGATTTCTTGTTCCAACCCCCCCAAGCCCCGCCCTCAAAACCTGGTTCATTAATAATATTAGATTTAATTAAAGGTAAAAAGGCATAGGATATTGAGACCAGCCTGGCCAACATGGCAAAAAACCGTCTCTACTAAAAATACAAGAAAGTAGCCAGGCGTGGTGGCGCGTGCCTGTAGTCCCAGCTACTTGGGAGGCTGAGGCGAGAGAATTGCTTGAACCCCGGAGGCGGAGGCTGCAGTGAGCCGAGATTGTGCCACTGCACTCCAGCCTGGGCGAAAGAGTGAGACTCCATCTCAGCGGGGGAAAAAAGAGCATAGGGTAGTTTGTCTTAGAGAGATGTCATAGTTAATAATCGTTAAATAGTGAAAATATTATTTTATATTGCACTGATATGAAGTACATAATAATTCCAAAGGGAACAAAGGGAAGTGATTTATCTTTTATATCTTCTATAAAAATGCTTGAGTAGGAAAATGCCAAATGCAAACAAGATTTTACGATAAACAGACTATGACAAAACATAAACACTTTAGCCGGGCTCAGCTACCCGAAAAAGATGACATGCTAATGAAAATCATATTATTAGTTGTCCCCCATCTGCTTAAAGAACTCCTACTCATCCAGCTTTCCTACTTGCTACCTATACAACCTCGGGCAGGTAATCTAACATCACTGTCTTCAGTGTTTTTTTTGTTTGTTTGTTTTTGTTTTTTTTTGAGATAGGGTCTCACTCTGTCACCCAGCCTAGAGTGCAGTGGCGCGATCACAGCACGCTGTAGTCTTAATCTCCCAGGCTCAAACACTCCTCCCACCTCAGCCTCTGGAGTAGCTGGGACTACAGGCATGCGCTACCATGCCGGGCTAATTTTTGTATTTTTTTAGTAGAGACAGGGTTTTGCCATGTTGCCCAGTCTGGTCTCAAACTCCTGGGCTCAAGCAATTCACCTGCCTTGGCCTCCCAATGTGCTGGGATTACAGGCGTGAGCCACCACGCTCGGCCTGTCTTCTGCATTCTTATCTTTACCTGTGAAATAGGAATTATAGTATCTATTCAATAGGGTGGTTGTTCAAGTAATGATATATTTGTAAAGCTCCTAGCAATTGTCCTGGGAAAAATTAAGTGCTTCATATCATCTGTCCAGGCTCCTTTCAGTTGGCAAGTCGTCTTCCTGGCTTTCCCTGTCTTCTCACATGGAGTAGATTTTTTTCCCCTTCATTTGTATTCATACAGCACTTTGTGCACCTCTGATTCAGCATGTCATATTATGACTACCTATTTATATCCACCTTTCCTGATCATCTGTGATTTATTTATTTATTTAGTAAAGATGGTGACTTGTTACATTGCCCAGGTTGGTCTTCAACTCTTGGCTTCAAGCAATCCTCCCACCTTGGCCTCCAAAAGTGCTGGGATTACAGGTGTGAGCCACCATGCCTGCTCCTTATCTATGAGTTATTTGAGGGCAAGGACTATATCAATTATTTTTTGTATCCCTGGTATGATGCAAGGTTCTGTTGTAGAGTAACAGATCAGGAGGTACTGTTGCATTGAATTTTTGTCACAAAAACAGGTCCAAAGGGACATTTAGTAGCCTTTTAAAATGTGCCTCCAACTTACATCACTGTGTGTAACACAACCTTTTTCTTTCCAAATATGATCCTAGTTATTAAGTCAAATTGCTTTTTTCCATATGATTAGTGCAAATTTCATGAATGTGATATTATATTGTAGGTCAAAGTATCCTGAAACAGCTAAGGTTTAAGTTAGACATTACTAAGAACTCTCTGAGGATTCATGATTGCCCCAACCCCCGGAATAAATATAGGAATAATTGAGGGGAAAAAGTGAAGGCTGCCTTTTGTGAGGGCCTTTACAATAAATTAATCAGATTCTCATTGATGCTGGGTAGATTAAGTGGTATTCATGGATTGATACTGACCTCCCAAAGTGTTCAGCCTGTGGGTTTGGTTTGCTAAAACTGCTTTACCATACCTGTGCACTTAAGGTTTCCAGAGGGCTTTCTATCCTTGGGAAAGCCATTAGGGGTACTCCACGGGGATCCTCAGGCTTGGGTTTGGAAGGAGATCCTTGCGTTCCTTTAAAGTTATGAACCACACACATTCCCTGCAGGATGAGGGGGAAAAAAGAATGGGGTCAGACTGCAGCCATCAATGCCTGGCATCTGTGAGGGTGGCAGGCCTTTCCCCTTGAATATCATCACCAGAGTGACCTTTTTCCTTTGAGAGAGGGGAAAGGGACTATGGGAAGTGCTGTGGAAACGTCTGTTTAATCACCAGATGACCAGTAATAATCGCTCTCCACCCCATTGGGTCTGTTTTCTCACCTGTAAAATAAGAATAGTAATACCCACTTCACAGATTTGTAATGATTAAAGACATGGTGAATGCAAACCACCTCATAATAATAGTTAAAATTTATTGAGGGCCACTATGTGTCTGGCACGACCCTGAGGATTTTATCCAATTTCACTTAACCCACCCAACAATTTCATAAGGGAGGTACTATTATCTCCAGTCTAGATAGGGGGGCACAGGGAAGTTATCTAACTTGCCCAAGGTCACACAGAGATTGAAACTCCAGAGCCCTTAAATCATATCCCTATACTATTTTGCCCCTTAAAAAGTGCCAAATGCATAGCAAGTATTCAGTCCATGTTAGCTGGTCTTTAACTCTTACCTTAGATAGTCATCTTCAGATTATGACTATTTGCTTGAGATTAGATAACTCTTGAGTTTTCTTTTATCGCTTCCATTTAAAACTTTCCCTGTAAGTTACTGCCCACTTTTCTGTTTCCTGCCAAGGTCTTTTCATAACTGACTGTTTCTACCATCTTCCCTGCTTTTTTTTTTTTGCCCAAGAAGAACCCTCCTTTTCCCTGCCTCTTTCCATACTTTCTTTGTTTCTTCATCCAGCATGTTCGAATCTTTCCTGCTACTCTTCAAACCCTGTAGCACATTGGCATGCATCCTCTCTACCTGGCTCATCTCCATCTCACTCTTACACTCAGCTTTTTTCTTTTTTCTTTTTTTTTGAGACAGAGTCTCACTCTGTCACCCAGGCTGGAGTGCAGTCGTACGATCTCGGCTCACTGCAAGCTCTGCCTCCCGGGTTCATGCCATTCTCCTGCCTCAGCCTCCCGAGTAGCTGGGACTACAGGCACCCACCAGCACGCCTGGCTACTTTTTTGTATTTTTTAGTAGAGACGGGGTTTCACCGTGTTAGCCAGGATGGTCTCGATCTCCTGACATCATGATCTGCTGGCCTCGGCCTCCCAAAGTGCTGGAATTACAGGCGTGAGCCACCGCGCCCGAGGACCCTACACTGTGCTTTAACTGGGAAGAGGGGAACCTGTAGAAACTTTGGAGTGGAGAGACCCAGGTCCCTCTGCTGGTTATTGGTTGCATGGCTATTGGGCAAGTTACTTATCTTTGAGCCTCATTTTCCTCATCTATAAAATGAGGATAGGAATATTGTTAGAGTTGCCCTGGGGGCACTTGATTAGCTGTCTATAAAGCATACAGCATGTGGTACTTGTTCAGCTAATAACTTCCTTCCCCTTCCTCCCACATTCCGCCTCATGGGAACCACAAACATAAAGCACTATTGAACATTTACAGTAGATATCCTGCCATTCTCAGTGTTTGCTCTTCTTTTTCTGTCTCCTCTCCAAGTCTCTGCTTTGGAATGCCTCCAGGCTCCTCCAGGACATCCTTCCCCTCCCATTTCCCAGCTTTGTGTGTGTCTGTGAGGTGTGTTCACATGCATGTGCCAACAGGGTGGTCTCTCTTATGCCAGAGCAATTCAACCACAGATCTGGGTCTTACGTAAAGGCCATTTGTAGGCAAACAAATTTTGACATCAATTGGGAAGTCACTTGAAAGCACTAGCAGACTGAGTAGTTACTGAGTGATGAGAAACAGGGCTGCATGTTATGGAGAGAAAACAAGTTTAACGTTGAAGCAGGATTTGTGTATGGGGCTTCAGCAAACCCCAATATCATCCCACAAAGACCCTACAAAATTGCTTGGAACAGTCAGAATGGCTCTTCCTCTCTAACTGGGGATGGCGGCTTTAGAACTGATGGTCAGCAACATTGTTTGTCTTTTCTTGAGCCAAAGTCTATTTATACACCATTGATCTCCCTTTGAAACCCTTCTCTTCCCTTCAAGTCACCTGTTTTCTTTCCTTCTTAAAAAAATTCCTCAGGAATGGTAGTAGGCGATAGGGGGAAGAGGAGTTGGTTAATCAGTACAAAAATACAGTCAGATGGAAAAAATGAGGCCTGCTCACTATAACAGTAGAGTGACAATAATTAACAATAATTTACTGTATATTTCAAAATAAATGGAATAGATTTGGAATGTTCTTAACACAAAGTAACAGTATTTGAGGTGATGGATATCCCAGTTACCCAGATTTGATCATTATACATTGTATGCTTGTATCAAAATATCACACATACCCCCGAAACATGTGTAACTTCTATGTATCCATAAAATGTTTTTAAAAGGCGTTCCTCAGGAAAGTTCCTAATGAGATATCAAGATTTTATGATGACTTCAGCACTGCTTTTCCTGCAACTTCATCCAGAGTATTTGCATTTTAGTTTTTCATCTTTCACTATAGGAAGAATGCCTGGATCCATTCAAAATACTGGCACATTTTTGTTTTATTTCTCTTCACTTTATTGCATGTTGCAGATATTTTTTTTTTTTTTAAATTGAAGCTTTTTGACAACACTGTCCAGCAAGTCTATTGGCACCATTTTTTCAACAGCACATGCTCACTTTGTGTCTGCGTCAACACTTTTTTAAAGCCATAAAGTGCTTTTAAATTAAGGTAACTGCATTGGTTTTTTTTTTTTTAGACATAATGCTATTGCACACTTAATAGACTACAGAATAATGTAAACATAACTTTTTATATGCACTGGGAAACCAAAAAATTGTGTGCCTAGCTTTACTGTGATATTCACTGTTGCAATGGTCTGGAACCAAAGCTGCATTATCTCTGAGATATGCCTGTCATTTTGAATTAGAAAGAAGCTTCCCAATCAATGTTCTGAATGTGAGCATTGTCTGTATCTTAGATTTTTTACAAGTTGGAAAACCAAGTTAGAGGCTGGGAGAGGCATGTGTGTATTTTGCATATTGGGGAGGGAAGGAAGAGGGGCTAGGAAAAGGAAGTGTGTTAAGTCCTATGACTGAAATCCAGCTATGTGTGATGCCAATCCAAATGGATCTTGGACCAGAGAGGGCAGAATAGGAGGAGGGAGGTCCTACAAGACTGTGATGGCTTCTTTCTCCTTGGGGAGGCTTCCTGAACATTGTTAGGGGATTCATTTCATGCACAGTATAAGTCTCCAGGCCTGATGATTCATCATAAATTTTTCTGGGCCTGTTTTAAGTCCTTGAAGATAATAGAAATCTGCATCTCTGAGGTGTGACCATGCAATGGAATACTACACAGCAATAAAAAGGAATTATGGATACATTCTACAACATAGATGAATCTCAAAATAATTATGCTAGGTGAAAGATACCTGAAAAAATACATTATGATTCAATTAATATGAAATCGTAGAAAAGGCAAACTAATATAGAATGACAGAAGATCACCAGTTGCCTGGGGATAAGGGAAAAGGAAGGGTGAGAAAGTTGTATGCCAAAATTGATCAAATTGTATACTTGATGTGTCATTTATTGTATACCTATTATACTTCAATACAACCGTGAAAGAGAAGGCAAAAAGAATAAAAATTAACCTCTTTTTATCAACTCCAACTCAATTTAAGGGATTTCCTAGGTGAGCAGGTGGCCAGACCTCCATCTATTTGGGGAACTAAAACATAATCAGAAATACAAGAAAAATGTATTAACCAAAACTCTTCTCCAGGAAGATAGGTGGTTGAGAAGCCAGTTTAGCGGAAGTAAGATTCCCAAGAGGCATGTTCCAATAGTAACAGAGGCCCACTAAAAAGGGCGGGTGTGATCATCTGCAGGGTTTTTAAAATTTCCGAGTAGGAGATGCAACTTTGGAATTAGAGTTGAGTTTCTTGGGATGCTGGAGAAGAGGCTGCTTGCTTCTACCAGTGCTCTTCATTCTCTATTCTTCCCTCAAGGAACACTTAGCTTTTGCCCCCAATATGCTGAGAACAAATACTTAGAGAAGATTGGTTTGAAGGTGTGCCAATTTATCATTAGTCTGCTTGGCCCCAGTCCCAAGCCCAGTGTTGAAAGGGGTAGAGCCAGCTGTACTTCTAGGGGCAATTCTCTCCCTGCCACCCAGAAGGAATTTGGCAATCCAGTTTCTGAAAGGAAAGAGTGTTTTGAAATCATTTTTGTAGCAAAAGCATGTATAATACTTGGAGAATAATTGTAATTCACAAGGTTGGGACGAAAGGAACACAGATGGTGAAGTCTGGGAAACCTGACTCACAGTTTTTCAGAGAGTAGAAGAGGGGGAAAAGGTAAAAAGAGGGAAGTCAACCTACCAGAAACAGGGCCACTGCAGTGCCCAGGATGAAACCAGCAATCACGTCCGAGCAGTGGTTCCGATACTCAGAGACCCGGTTGAGGCCTGTCAGGAAGGCTGTGCAGAGAGTTCCGAGGCACAGCACCGGCTTGGCCAGTCGACTGCTCTTCGTCTTGATTGTGCTTGTAATATACATCTGGAATAGGACAGAGGCCAGGGAGTGACCAGGCAGCTGCCTTGTGCTATGAGTACACATGCAAGCAAGCAGGTACATACACCAGCATACACAAGCAGGGGCTTGTGTCAAAGCAACCACACTAACTAGTATTCCTTGAACAACTCCATTAAGATATTTAATAAATTATTTAGGTAGGAAATCAGTGCAGCAAGAACAATGAACAGATGTACATTCTTCAGTCTTTTGTAATCTAGTGGACATGTCAACAGAAGTTATTAGTGACACAAAGAACGCATTAACGATTAGATTCAGAACATGCAGTTTTTATGTGACAAGTTTAAATATCATTTGGGGTATAAGAAATCCATATGAGAGTCTGAGATACCAAATAAACCTTCTATGGGAATGAAGCTTTTGGTGGAGAAGACCAGGTAGGAGAGTGACTGTAAGTGACCGTACATTTTATTTTTTGTGTCCCCAAAAGTTCCTAGTTGCTTTGTCACACCTTCAGGTGATTAATACCAACAAAGTGTTGACTGATGAGTTAGTTGATAGGCTGAATTAGAACCTCCCAACAACTGCATCACATAAATAGGTTTCAGCTGTGCTAGTAAATTGACTCATACATTCCTCAGGACAGCTGTGATCAGCTTTATTCATTCATTTACTCCACTGTTTCTTAAAATATTAAAATTTTCTGTGTGTTCCACAAGATACAAAAGGTCAAGAAGACCTGAGCTAAGTAAAAGATGATACACGTTATGACACCTGAGATGTAGGCGGCTGTTATTAGTTTGTTGTGAGGTGCTGGGTAAGACTCTGACGTTTTACAGGTTCAGTTAGCAAATGTGTCCCTGGTGGTTTAGAGTTAGGAAGCCATGCCTTTTTCATGTAAGTACACTTTTTTAGCTAACCTTTGGTAGTAGTTACAAAACACCACTAGAGGGCACCATTGGTCTATCATTTCTTAACAAATGTGCTATGTGAGCTTAGCAATTCTAAAAAATAATATGCTGATACTTATATAGTATGTGTATATGGCCTGAGCACATATAAGTTAAAATAGACGCATTTTACAGTATTACAATAGAAATTCTTAATATTCTAGAATGATACCTCAACACTGGTGAGAATACCAGAAGATAGGAATCTCTTCTATATAACAGATTCCCTATAAAACTGGTTACATCACAGTTACATAAATTACAGCATATTATTACACTATTTTCAGACTCTGGTAAATGTTACTTAAAACCTATGCTGCATATATTCAGTTGTTCATGCTATTATGTTTTCCAATTATATCTGTCATAAATCTTTCCTATAAGAAAGATTAAAAACTATTAAAAGCATGAGCCTATGGTTAGTTGGTATTCTTCATAGTATTAACCAGTACTTAGGAAATCCTTGTTGAGTAATTTCTGAAAGCATTTGACATGTAATAGCGGCTCAGAAGATTTATGCAATTGGAATCTTATATCAGGGTTTATCTGACTATAGTCTGTGAGGCATGATTTGAATTGGATAACATCTGAATCCTTGAGAACATGTTATAGTCACATTTATTCTGTGTGAGCTGATGATATTTACTTCTTTCTTGCCCAAAGAACTTCGTATCTCATTTGTTGAGACAGTAGTTTATTATAAGTAACAGAATAATTTTTATAATGGTACTATAAAAATTAATTTCACACAGCAATGACTTGAGTCTGATAAAAAATACAGGAAAAGGCACAAGAATACATTGTTTAGGTTCTAGATAATTAGGAAAAATCAACATTCTGAAAATTTGAAAATATGTTGGATACTTCAGAGGGCTTTATTTGTTTAAAAAAAATACCTGCATAGAGGTTTTTTGGTTTGGTTTTGTTTTTGATAAAGCAAAGACATTTAACTGAGCTATAATCTGTTTTGTAAATTGAGGCTTCTGTGTTATTTGCATCCTTGTTTCTTTAATGTGGGGACAGCTGAAGTCCTTTTTTTCACATACTCATGTCACATAGTTGGTGGTTGACAAAATAACCCTATCGATGTGATCCTGTAAATGGGACACAAAGGCACTATCTGCTCCTGGTTGTTTTAAATAAATAGATCAGACCCATAGTCACAAAGAATGACTGTGTATTAATTATTAGATTCAGAACATGCAGTTTTTATGTGACAAATTAAAGAATCATTTGGGGTATAAGAAACCCATATGAGTTTTTGCCTTTTTTCCACCCTAGGGGTGAAGGCACAGACCCGTTTTCTTCCCGCAGAGGCAGAACATGCCTCCTGCAATTACACTCAGTGACAGGAAGGGTAGCATCTCCCTGGGGGGTGGGTTGAGGGCATACTCAGATGTTTGGGAAGAATGGACAGTTTGAAAGGAGGCTTCCTTCTGTCTTTTCCATTCCCACACTTTCCATTGAGAATTACCAGACTAGTCATATTCTGAATATAAAATAAGTTGAAGTAAGGAAAGGGGGTGTTTTGGGCCAACAGTTGCTCTGCCACTGGTAAATGCACCTGATGTCCACCAGCAATATCGTATCAGCCCGTGGAGCCTTTGAGCTGATCTCTGCATGTCTATATTCTGGGTCCTAAGAATGCATAAGCCAGACAAGAGTGAAATGAAGTTATTTCCAAAATGAATACAGTTAAAAAGTTGGAAAATAAGAGAGACACCATTGTTCTTTAAGATGTGGGACATACTTTGGTTTTTCTGTTACTAGAACAAAAAGAAAACCAGAGAAAATTATACCCCAGTGGGGCAGTCAATGGCTGTGCGATCTGGGGGACAATGAGAAACATACTCTGGGGTGTTGAGGTTTTTCTAGGATCATCCCTGTCTCCTAGCAAAGTCATGGAGAAAAGTGCCAGAGCAAAGGAAAGCTGTGTATCCTGGGTCTGCATGTTGTTGGAGCAGTCATTCATATAAGGCCCATGCTTGCAAATTTCTAGGCAGGTGTGAGAAGGTGTGCTGTTCCGAAACCAACGAAAACCTTGACAAAGAGTACTGTTGTGGGAGGTAAGAAAATCTCAGACACAGTACCAGGAGTCTGGGTCCCTGCTCTGGTTGTATGATCTTAGCTATACTGTGGGACCCTGCTTTCACATCTGTAAATGGGAGGATGTAATTAGGTGATTATCAAAACATTCCAGAACTAATATCCTCTGGCAGATCAGGAGATTGAAAGTGGGGTAGAAGTGTGTGTGTGGGGGGGCTAGTATATCAATAGCATAATGTAGAGAAATATGCCATACATAAATTTAAGAGTCGCTATAAGTGACAATGAAAGAATGGAGACAGGGCAGGGAGACACACATCCTATCAAAAACTGGACTTAGGAGAGACAAGACTTGCACACTCACCGTGGCATATAAGGCGGAGTAAATGCTCAGAGCAGCGTGTTTGGAGGGAAAGGATCTCCGAGCCTTTTCTATCACTTCCAGGTCCCCAGTACAAATGTTCCCATTGTTTATAAACTGGTGGTGCGCTTGGCAGTCTGCACTGGTGTAGTTTGGCTTGCACACAGTCAGGAAGTATGGCGTTAAGTGCCCAGTGACCACTTGTCCGGCGTTTACAAAAATGTCAGTAGCAAAAAGTCCAAATGCAAACACCCCTATAAGAAGATTTAAAATCATTAGGAATGGTAACATACTCTGTCAATTGCATTTTTCTCCTAAGAGAAAACAGCGGTGAGAGTCCATGATGACCTATCAAAATGATTCTAAGTACTCCCCGGAGTATCTTTCCAGGAGTGGTACCTGCTTCCCAAATCACCATTTCTTCCAAATTGATGTAGACATTCTACTGTTAGGACTTTATGGTTTTGTATCGGTAGTTTAGAAAAAGCACAGTCTAACGAAAATAATTTGAATTTTGGAGTCATATAGACACATCAGTGGTGACTCATTCAGAGTATAAGTTATTTATCTTTCTTGAATCTTGGTTACCTTTGCTGCAAAATGGAGTAGGGGGTAGTTTGGGGAAAAGAGAATAATCTACGTGCAAAATACTTGCTATGGTGTCTACGTAATTAATCAACATCAGTTCTCTCTCCTTCTATACGAAATACCTTCTCCCTGATTCTACTTGGAAATGTAAATCATCTTGGGAGGAGTTATTTACAACATGGCAGGTGAGAGTAAAGGAGGATCTTATGGAATTGTCTTTTAAAAAAATTATTCTAGAAACTTTGCTTGAATTGGAGTTTCATTTGATGTTGGAAACAGAAAATGAGAATAAAGGAAAAGTGTTAAAAACAAATGTTGTTGACCAATAGCCTCCTATTGCTGCTATAACAAATTACCACAAACCGAGGGGCTTACAACACAAATGTATCCCCTTCAGACTTCTGTATTCTGGAATTCAGAAGCCTACAATAGGTTCCACTAAGCTAAACTCAAAGCATTGGCAGGGCTGTGTTCCTTCTAAGTGCTCAGGGTATAATCCACATCTTTCCTTTTCCATGTGTTCTAGAAGTTGCCTTCATTCCTTATCTTATGGCCTCTTTCCAGCACTTCACATCATTCCAACTTCTGCCTTCACTGTTGTATCTCCTCTGACTCTGAGCCTCCTGCCTGTCTCTTATAAGGACCCTTGTGATTATATCTGGATAATCCAGGATAGTCTCCCTATCACAACTTCAACCACACCTGCATTCCCTTTTGCCATGTAAGGTAACATTCAGTTTCCAGGGACATGATCATCCTTTGGTGGGGAAGGGTGCATTATTCTGGTTTTGCTGTTGGTCTGAAAACCCTGTGAGTAGGCTATACTTCCTGGATTTTATTTGTTCTCTGGTAAATTCCAGAGGATTAGCCCCAACAAGCTTGAACATGCAGAGGTTTCCTTACAGAAAGCTTTGCTGTGAGTTATTTCAAGGCCTGTATATTACATCTATGCACTGAGAAAGGCTGTGTAGAGCTATAAGTGGGTTGAAGAGATGAAGATGTATTATATGCAATTGAAGGTAGAAGTTGACAAGTGCGAGAGGCAGCATTAACCCTTGTAAATGTCAAGAGTCTGCTATAGTTTCAACTAAATGTCTACCCAATTTTGACTCCCGTATTCAGTGTTCTGAATCTGCAAATTGTGCTGACTTCAGCACCCAAAAATTAATCCATTATAGCAGAAGTGAAGACTAGTTTGGCTGAAACCTTCGTCTGGTTTTCATTTGTATCTGTGCTGATTGCCATCATCTTTCTTTTTGTGGCCTTGCCAGAATGTGCTTTATCATAATGAGAACTAGCTCTTAAGCTTCTGCTGGCTCATACTCATTGGGTCTGACCTCTGAGAGCAGGCATTCATTGATCATCCGAGGCAGTTTTCACCCCCAGGTACTGGAAGTCTGAATGGTTGGAGATTTTCTACATCTTCCAGCAAGATTTTCAAAGACCAGGTTGCTGGGTCTTTCAAGGGGCAATAAGTCTGTCCAGACATAACTTTTCCAGGAAACTAGGGTGATTTACGATCTGAAAAAGGAAAAGTGGCAGGATCTCCCTTTGGCATTTTGTCAGAAGTGTTTCCAATTAGGGCAGGTTTTATTCTTTCTTTGGCAGAGGATTTCTAGGTTCCTTGGGTCAGTGCCAGCTCTGTGGTCACAGCGATTGTATGGTGGCCAGCTCTCCACACCATTGTCCTGTATGCCAAGGCTGAAAGTAGCTTCTCTTCTTCTCTCTGCCTTCTGTGGATTGTGTCTGTTTCTTCTGCTGGCTTCAGGAGCATCCGCTGTCCAACCACTTCATTCTGGTGCATTTGATCCAGCTTCAGGAAGTACCGCATCAGCCTGGGAAGCCCACCTGCCCCATGCAGGCCACACCAACAAAGCGCGGTGGAACCTGCACTGGTAACTCACAGACCATGTCAGATCATACAGGGCTTTTCCAAAGGAACTCAAGCCATCTCTCTCTTACTTCACCCTACGCTCCTTGTGTGTATTTTTACAAGCCTCAGAAGCTAAAAACAGCTACTTTTGCCCTTAGAGTCAGATGAAACACCATTTGGTCTCCAGTATTGCAAGGTATGATTTGAAGATGTTTTAAAAATGTCTCTGTATCTTGGCTTGGAGTCTAAAATTCTTCAGGTGAGATCATATTTTTTAATAGATATTTTTCATTTCTGTAACCCCACACCCCTCAGATGGTTCTATTTATCTTAAGGCTCTGCTCCATCTGTGTTGTTTCTTACTTCAGAGAAGCCAAAGCCAATTATGTTTCTGAATGGATTTTCCAATTTACAACAGACACAAAAGTCCAGAAGTAAAGCACTTTTTATTTGCCAGAGCTATGTCCTTGTTGTGATTGCTGTGGCTGTGTTCAGAATTCTGAATATGCTTGGTTTGGAAGATCAAGAGCTACAACCTGGAGGGCGAGACAGTCTTACAAAGTTTCTGAAATCAGCTGCAGAGCAGGTGAGGAAGCAGATGTGGGTGTCACAGGAGGAGCTGAAGCCCTGCCTGTTCTGATTACAGAAGTAAAGAGGTACTTACAGGCTCCCCGCCTCAGGCTGGTGTCAAGCCTCAGGGGCTGGGAAATACAAATCTCCAGAAGGGTTTTTTGTAAATGTGGACAAAGGGCATCGTGTTCCTGCTGGGGTGTAGATTGGGAACCCCACAAACATCTTAGAGAAGTTTCACATCCAGCTTGGCACCACAGCATAGGGTAACTGCATTAGCAATGGCCAAGGAAGGGTCAAATTAGTTGAGAAGAGGCTTGGAAGGACAAAAAAAATTGGTGTCTGCTGGTGATGGCCATGATCAGGTCCCAGTAACATGGATTGTCTAAGGAAACCTGAGCTCTTTGTGACCTAAAAGAACATAACTGATGCACACTGGGCTAAACAAAGGATAAAGAAAGAGGATGATGAAGGTGTTAAAGTCTCTCACTTTTTTCTCAGGGTTTTACCTGGACCCCATCTGATCTCAGATAGGATGTCTTTGGACAAGTTAGGATCTTTGATCCCTAGTAGTTTAGGACATGGAGTGAAATTCTGTGACCCTATTCCTGCTATGGACTCAGCACAGGACTCCAGCACTTGACTCCACCAAGAATGTAGTAGAAACAGTGACAGAACCAGGAAACGTGCATGAAGGAGATCTTCAAAGCCACCAGTAATTGGTCTACTGACAAACAATAACAGGCCTCATTCCAGGATCCCTTCAGAACTGGGAAAAGTACAGAACCAGACTGCTCAGTGCTGTCCACACAGCAGACCTTCATTAGGAAGCCTAGATGCATGCAACAGAGTAACAATTAGCAGAGGTTGGTGGGGTGAGCAAAGGAAGGACCATGTTCCTTTTAGGCCCGGAAAGTCTGAGACCTTGGGTAGAGCCTCAAAACTGAAGGCCAAATGTTGCATACTAAATTATAAATGTGTAATTCTCCAGTCAAAAAGGCACTTTGCTGACAGCCTCTGATGGATCATCTCTCATTGTCCACTAAAATCATACATGACGACAGTGAAAAAAGATGGAAAGTTGGCCAAATGACACCAAACTGAAGGGAGGATGAGTGAGAGGGGTCCACTGTTGATAACCTTCATATGGAGTATGTTTAATCTCTCTCTTTTTCTCACACACATACACACACTTGCGCATGCACACATGCACGCACACACACACACACTTTTACCTCATGGAAAACTCAAGCTTCTCCTCAGAAGACAGAGACTACAGAGACGGCAGGAGAAAATCTAGGGAAAGGCTTTCTTTCTTTCATACTATCAGGCCCCTGACTCTGAGATCCAGGATTTAGACTCCCCAGAAAACAAGGCTTCTGTCTCCCCACTGGATGAGTTCGCTCTGAATTGGCTGAAGACTCTCCTCTCTTACCTTTTTTTTTCCTAAATGTATTTACAGAGAGACTCCTGGACAAGAACTCAACAGGAGGTGGCAGGGGCACAGGCATGGGCATTTCGCATTCCAAGAGGACTAGATCCACGTGTTCTGGAGAGCGTGGCTGCTGCTGGCTATAGCAGCTTTGTGCACGCTCTATAGAGTACCAATGAGCCACACAGTGAGGACAGCAGATGCTAGTTCCTTGGAGCTGAGGAGCTCTAGTAGGAAGCCTGCTAACTAGGGACTGGACTTGGGGCTGTGTACGTCTGCTTTCAAGCTGTAGCTCTGAAAAGTTGGCCAAGAGCAAGTCACACTTCTGCTGATGAATAGAGCATGCATAGGTCTTGCCCCATTTAAGAGTAAATAGGGAGAAATAATCACAGATCACATCGGATGTTGGAAAAATCTCCTATTTTAGACTAGTATGGTACCATTATTCTCATATTTCTTGTTTCAGTAGGAACTTTACACTTGCATAGATTATTCAATAATTTCCATCTGTCACATTAGAATTGTTGAATATGGAAGCTTTATTACAGCAAGGAACACATTTGTTTTTGCTCATCATTGTATTCCCAGCACCTAGCATCAAACTTGGCACATAGTAAACATTTAACAGATAATTGTGGGATCAATGAATGAATTGCTGAAGAAACTTTAGAGATTAACAGAAGAGGATAAAAGAGCATAGAAACTTGTCCATATTTTCTAATTCATGTTGGTGCTTTGCATCCCTGATTTCAGAGAACATAGTTGACAAAAAGCCATTTAGCATGTATGTTGCAGGGATCATATCTCCTTTTTATAAAATTCACAAAGTCGGGCATAGTGCTAGGCAACTAGAAAATAAGTGATCATTAAAAACTGGGACTTTATAAGTGTCTCATGAATTGGAAAACTGTAAATCATAATTCACAAATCAAAGCACTCTCTATTCTAATGCAGTGAGAATAAAAAAAACCTTAGAGTATGGAGATCTATGTCATACACAACAAATACTTTTTATTGGAGATGTTTGTGAAGCACAAGAAACTCAAGTCATGATGAACTTGGGAAGTATTGATGGGTAGTTTTATTGAAACATGCATATCTTAGAAATGTCCCTATTTCTGATTCTGAGAAATTACAATGGTTGTCAGTTTCAGTATTAACACGTGGGCACATAAAAACTTCTATACATTTTCATGTGGGGAAACTAACACATGGAACTTTAAAAAAGAAAAGAATAGTGAAAAAGACATAAAAACAATTTATCTGGATTAAATTGCCAACAGTACTCTGCATCTATGTTGAAAAGCTACTCTGTGGGCAGTTGCTTAGTCTGAACCGCAGCTTTTACCACCCCTCCCTACTTTCCTTAACATTCGTTCTCAATCTCTTATCAAAAATTGTTGGCCAGGCACAGTGGCTCATGCTGTAATCTCAGCACTTTGGGAGGCCGAGGCAGGCGGATCACCTGAGCTCAGGAGTTCAAGACCAGCCTGACCAATAGGGTGAAATCCTGTCTCTACTAAAAATGTAAAATTAGCCAGGTATGGTGATGCATGCCTGTAATCCCAGCTACTCAGGAGGCTGAGACAGGAGAATCACTTGAACCTGGGAGGCAGAGGTTGCAGTGAGCAGAGATTGTGCCATTGCACTCCAGCCTGGGCAACAAGAGTAAAACTCCTTCTCAAACAACAGCAACAAACCAAACCAAACAAAAAAACCTGTGGGCAGAGTGGCTTGTCCCCGTAATCCCAGCACTTTGGGAGGCAGAGGTGGGTGGATCACTTAAGGCCAGGAGTTTGAGACCAGCCTGGCCAGCATGATAAAACCCTGTCCTTACTAAAAATACAAAAATTAGCCGGTGGTGCTGGGTGCCTGTAATCCCAGCTACTCAGGAGGCTGAGGCAGGAGAATCGCTTGAACGTGGGAGGCGGAGGTTGCAGTGAGCTGAGATTGTGCCACTGCACTCCAGCCTGGGCAACAGAGCGAGACTCTGTCTCAAAAAACAAAAACAAAATAACAACAAAAATAAACTGTTAAAAAGAGGACTGTTCTTTTGTTTCTCTATGGTAAAACGATGTCGTGAAAGATAGTGAAAGTAGTAGCATGTTGTATGATATTGAGGATACTTGAACATTTTCTCGTTTTCAAAATCTAACCAGCTTTGTGCATCTCTTTGTGGTAGCTTTTCTACCGTGATGTCCACAAAATGAGAAAACGTGCCCTCCCATTAGCTTCTGGCCTCTGTTTTGGTAGAAAAAATGATAAAAAAATCTTATCCCACACAGAAAAGTACAAGCAAATGGCAGGGGTTTACCAGTGCCATTTCAACACTGTAAGAGGAATACCTAAGGAATTCTTAACACTGTTTCCCCAACCACATTCTGATTCAACCACCAACTTCCATTGGAAATGGAACACAAGATTAAAGAAACACATACAGTTTACTTTTGCTTTTTCTTTTCCACATCAGGATCCCCAGTAGAAAATCTCTATCTAATTCCATTTTTGCCAAGGTACCTCAATTCAACTATTGAAGACCATTCCTTCAGGAAACCACAGTTTCTTTAGGAAAAGTGGTAAAATGCTTTCTCATTAACATGCTTTATTCAAACTGGAAGTTTCCTATGAAGATAATTTATCTGAGGTTACCATGTTCATCCCATTTCCTTATAAAGGTGTACTGACCTGATGAGATGTTTAACTATGACTGCCATGGATACCAGGTAATAATAACAATAGCTAATATGCTGTGCTTAGTACATACAAAGTATTGTTCTAAGTGCTTTGCAATATTAGTTCACCTAATGCTCACCATGACTTTGAGGTAGACACTATTATCCCTACATTTTACAGGTGAGGAAATTGAGATCCAGAGAAGTCAATTAACTTGACCAAGGTCATACAGCTAGTGAGTAGAGGAGCTTGGGTTACAAACAGAATAGTAAGGCTCCAGAGGCTATATTCTTAATCATAATTGTCTAAGCTTATTTATTATTAACATACATATGGATAAGCATCAGACCATAAAGATATCTTAGCTTATGCTTGGGAGCACACACACATGCACACAGCACTGAGAAGAGGCAAGGACTTTATAACATGTCCCTCATGAAATGTATTTCACTTGCCACAACAGAATACGAATTCTTCAATTTTGTAGTCAATTTTCCAAAAAGAAGATGATTGAATATCTATGATATGTCATCATTTGAATAAGGCACTTTTCTCATCACTTTAGCAATGAATCTGACTTTTTTCTAGTATGACAAACACATTCGGTGCAATTGATCCATATGCCCTATATATTGTGCTTCAAAAATAAGTTTCTGGCAAAATTGAATACATCAGTTCCTTGGATAGTAAATTTTAGGTGTTTACAGAGCAATGCTGTAGTCTTTCTCCTATCGATACTGCACAAACACCAAAGGCTGACAATAGCCTGCTTGTCTTGATCAGATGGTTGAAATCATAAGAAAAGATTTTATTAAAGTCAATTAATCTGAACCTAGTCACTTTATCTGTTAAAATGAATTATAAGTATGCCTTGTATCACAGGGTGATTATTCAAATCATAAAAAACAGTTGTAAAAACACTTTGTCAATTGTGAGCCCTTTATTGATATTGCTCTTATAACTGAGAGAAGTAGATGTAACTAAGGGAAGTGGTTATAAATTGATTATAAAATTATTTTTTAAATGCAGGAAAGATATAAGAAACCTACAATTGTAACAACCTGAAACAAATATTTGACTCAGTTATTCATCCTTTGTATTAATAAAGCACCTTTTACAATGCGATAAGCTGGTGGTTTAGAAAAAAATACCCTGTATTTGTCATTGTAATTACTCATGATAAGTGAAGATGAAGGATAATTACTTAATAAAGATGATGAGTAATCAACTAGAAAGCCCACCAAATATTTTTATAAACAAAAGAACAAACAAATACATTTTTACTTCCTCAAAGCATAAAATTACTCTGCTTCTTAACAGGATTTTATCTCAAGAATGTCCTCTTTACTCCTTTGACAGGACAATTCCCCAGTGCTTTATCTCACAAATATGAGCCTTCTCTCTTGCCACCTAGCCTCTAAATATCTTCTCGGTCCCTCTAGGCGGTATAATGCCAAATGCTGCTTAATACAGAGGAAAACATAAAAGTTTGCCAGAGGCTATGGTAACTTTAAAGTGGAATGGAACCTGTGGATGCAAGTAAGTCTAGAAAATATGCCCTGGATACAAACTAAATGTGGAGAAAAAAATGTAGCTACCAAGAGATATCGAAATATAGGAATATTGAGGCCTGGATTTTTAGAAGGCTTCAAATTCGGCTTTTGTGATTCCATGTTTGTAAGTTTCTAAAGCTGAAGCTGATGATCTGAATCTACTCCCATTCCTACCACAAGATCAGCATCAAGCCCCCATGGGCAGCTCCCAGCCCTGTTGGTGATTTACAGATACTGAGATCTGGCACTGTTGCCCTCTGCTTGATGCATTTCCTAAACAATTTCATTATGTTCTAATGTAATAACTTAAATAGTTTCTGCTCACACCTATAATATCAACACTCTGGAAGGCTGAGGCTGGAGGATCCCTTAAGTTCGAGACCAACCTCGGCAACATAGGGAGACCCTGTCTCTGCAAATAATAATAATTTAAAATTAGCTGGGTGTGGTGGTGTGTGCCTGTGCTCCCGGCTACTCAGGAGACTGAGGTGGGAGGATTGCTTGAGCCTGGGAGGTCAAGGCTGCAGTGAGCTGTGGTCATGTTACTGCACTCCAGCCTGGGTGACAGAGTAAGACCCTGTCTCAGAAAATAAAAATAAGTAAGTTGCTTCCAAAACACACACTACTTTTTAAAAATTATTATAGAAAGCTTTGAAACTACACTTTACTAACTGTTGAGTCATCAGTTAGTGCCTAGTTTTGTTATATGAATATTTTTGTTATGCAAGATATTGTATAACTTCTTAAAAGTCTTTGAAATATACTTAAAAAAACCTTTACAAAAGTAGTTGTCAGCTGAGGGTGACCCTGCCCCAGGGAACTTTTGTAATGTTTGGAGACATTTTTGATTGTCACTACTAGAGGAGTGAGTGCTATTGGCATTTGTTGGATAGAGGCCAGGGGTACTACTAAACATTGTATTAATACAATGCACACAAGTCAGTATTCTACTTCTACACAAAAAAAGAATTATCTGGCAGAGAATGTCGAGAGTGCTGAGGGTAAGAAACACTGTTTTACAGCAATTAAGTTCACTGTAGTGTCATGAATTTGCATTGTCTAACCTGCAAAGTGCTACAGAAAGCAGTCTTCTGCTCAGTCCTTTATTGGAGTCCAGCCTCTCAACACTAGAGCTAAGGAGGACCCACAGAAAAGAATCACTAGTCTCATATGACTCAATAACTTTCCTCTTGATAATTAGGGTAATCTAGGGAGTTCTAGGGTAGGAGTCTTGGTCAGATCTGTAATATTCTGGCTCACCAAGGATGACAATCAAAGGGGAATAGATTCAGTCCCTGCACTGAGCAGAGGAACCAAAAGTAACCTCATCACAATTTCTTGAGACCCAAGCAAAGGTTGCTCCCTGGCTACGCCTTCTAGGCCAGTCATGGTACCAGCTTCAGCATCCTTCCTCCCCTGCATCCTTGAATCCCAGCCACAAGCCCAATCCTGATCCCTAGTAGGAAGCAGCAAACATCTTAGTCTCTAATCTAGTGCCTTGGCTGCTTAAGTGGTCCAGAAACAGGGGTTCCATTTTGTTCCCTGAAGATTCTTCCTGGCTCTTTCCTCTTAACCTGTGTACCTGAGCTTCAACTACGGTTCCTGTTGCTGAATTCTAGAAATTATCTCCATCTGCTTATAGGCCCATGTCCTGCCTTGCTCTTGACATTTTTCTTTTATGATCTAGACTCATGGCTCAGAAAGAAAGTTGGGTGCCTGGGCACTGTCACTTATCTTTAGACTACCTGGGTAGATTGAACTTCTCGGTCAGCACATGGAGCTGGCCTGGTTCCCTGGGCATCTGTTTCCCTGGGATCATCCCTGTCTTGATTGCTCTGTCCTGCTATGAATTCACTGCCAACTCAACAATTCTCATGGTATACAGCTTCTCCTCTCCATTTAAAATTACATATCTGCTGCCACAAACTCCCTATTTCCTTTCCCTATTTTTCTCTGTACTACTTATCTTCTAACATTATAATTTATTTTGTTTAGTGTCTGGCTTTTTCTATCAGACTATAAACTGAATGAGGGCACATTTCTATTTGGTTCACTCATAGATTCTAAACACCTTAATCTGTACCTAGCATCTAGTAGGTGCTCAATGACTATTTCATTGAAGGTTGAATGAACATGACCGGCCCCCCAGCTGTATTTTAACTATAAATACTGAATGCAAACAGAAATAGACTAATTGAATCAAATAAAGTCTTTTTCTGATAAAGTACATTTAAATGACTTTCAAAATCGAGGATTTTCTAGTTCTCAAAAAGGCTGACATTAAGCTCGTCCCAGGGTATCAATTCTTAAAACCATAAAACGCCATGACCTTTGAAACTGCATTTAAAATATTCATGCTTCACTTAGACCACACTTGATTTATGGAAATTAATTAGCGTTACATGAATTCGCTGTTTACCATGGCACTTTTTAGTCTGTCCAGTGCTACCTAATCCTCGGACCGGACCTAAATGGCAGAAGACTTGGCTGGTATTTAATTAAATTTTTATTAGAAGTAATAATGGATCAACTGTGTGACCCCAAATGAAAAGACTATAATGAAGAGCTCTGGATGACAAGCTATTTTAGTGCTAATAGTCTAATGTTTGCATATTTGGATCAGTTTTTTAATTAACTCAAAGCAACTATTCAGGAAGGGAAAGTTAATTTGGTTTTCCTTCTATATGGTAAACAAACCAAAAACCCTCATCAAATTCTAATGCTGTCTATTCATTACTTTTCAGTATTAAAAAGTTACTGTTTAATAATTTATATTTACAAAAATATTTACTCAAGTATATTTGTGAGCAGAACTGAACTGAACTTCACATTTTTTTTGGAAAATGTAACTTCCTTACTTAGTCATTGCCACTGAAAAAGAAAGGTGGGTGTTTAACTCTCTTGAGAACATAAATCTGTGTTGCTGTTACTACACAATGTAATGTAGTAGCAAAGGAAATGGTATAAAGTAAAAGAAATGAAGAGGGAAAAAATGAGAGAGAGGAGTCTTAATACATGTTACTAATTTGATTACATTTGTTTTTATAAAGTACAGGTAAAATTTGTTAGTTTAGCCAGTTCCTTTCCTCCCTTTGCACATTATATAAATATAACTTGAGAAACTATACAATGGTTTAGAAGTGGATAGAGAAGTTTAGCTATGATGTTTTATGCTTAAAGCCTGGGAGGACAGGCAGCTTTCTTATAATGAGAAGGTTGGGGGGAAAAATGTATTGTTGGATTTGTGAATCAAAGGAATTTAATACTCTCCGTCAAAGTCAACACCATTAGCATTTGCTAAAGGAGGAGATGGTTGAATTTGAATGTTTTCTCTTTGATGTCACTATTCTTGTCATTGTCTCATTTAAAACTTAATTTGGATCTGTGGGGTGAAGCAGAAGCCTATCCTTCAAATCCATGCCACACAGACGAGAGGAGACAAAAGAATTAGAGAAGCAAGTTGAAGTTTTTGCTCTTCTATCCACACTGAAGACTGTTAGAGAACTTGGCCATCGTTCTGGATAGCCTTTATTCTGCCCTCACTCTTTAAAAAAATTATCTTTAGTTCTTTTTCTGATTTCTAAAAGTAAACATATTCATGATAAAAAATTAAAATTATGGAACATTAGAAAGCCAAAAATTATTTGCCCAATTTGCCCATTATCCTACAATTCAGAAGTGACAACAGCTAATTTTTAGTGTGTTTCCCTTCAGTCTCTTTGCTATGGATAACACACAAATACACATATACACTTATATAATGTTGCATTCTTTTTATTTAAAAACAATTATGGATTCATAGTGTTTTTTTAAATTTTATTTTATTATTATTATACTTTAAGTTTTAGGGTACATGTGCACAATGTGCAGGTTAGTTACATATGTATACATGTGACATGCTGGTGTGCCGCACCCATTAACTCGTCATTTAGCATTAGGTATATCTCCTAATGCTATCCCTCCCCGCTCCACCCACCCCACAACAGTCCCCAGAGTGTGATGTTCCCCTTCCTGTGTCCATGTGTTCTCATTGTTCAATTCCCACCTATGAGTGAAAATATACGGTGTTTGGTTTTTTGTTCTTGCGACAGTTTACTGAGAATGATGATTTCCAATTTCATCCATGTCCCTACAAAGGACATGAACTCATTTTTTATGGCTGCATAGTATTCCATGGTGTATATGTGCCACATTTTCGTTATCCAGTGGATCACTGTTGGACATTTGTGTTGGTTCCAAGTCTTTGCTATTGTGAATAGTGCCGCAATAAACATACATGTGCATGTGTCTTTATAGCAGCATGATTTATAGTCCTTTGGGTATATACCCAGTAATGGGATGGCTGGATCAAATGGTATTTCTAGTACTAGATCCCTGAGGAATTGCCACACTGACTTCCACAATGGTTGAACTAGTTTACAGTCCCACCAACAGTGTAAAAGTGTTCCTATTTCTGCACATCCTCTCCAGCACCTGTTGTTTCCTGACTTTTTAATGATTGCCATTCTAACTGGTGTGAGATGGTATCTCATTGTGGTTTTGATTTGCATTTCTCTGATGGCCAGTGATGGTGAGCATTTTTTCATGTGTTTTTTGGCTGCATAAATGTCTTCTTTTGAGAAGTGTCTGTTCATGTCCTTCGCCTACTTTTTGATGGGGTTGTTTTTTTCTTGTAAATTTGTTTGAGTTCATTGTAGATTCTGGATATTAGCCCTTTGTCAGATGAGTAGGTTGTGAAAATTTTCTCCCATTTTATAGGTTGCCTGTTCACTCTGATGGTAGTTTCTTTTGCTGTGCAGAAGCTCTTTAGTTTAATTAGATCCCATTTGTCAATTTTGGCTTTTGTTGCCATTGCTTTTGGTGTTTTAGACATGAAGTCCTTGCCCATGCCTATGTCCTGAATGGTAATGCCTAGGTTTTCTTCTAGGGTTTTTATGGTTTTAGGTCTAACGTTTAAGTCTTTAATCCATCTTGAATTAATTTTCGTATAAGGTGTAAGGAAGGGATCCAGTTTCAGCTTTCTACATATGGCTAGCCAGTTTTCCCAGCACCATTTATTAAATAGGGATTCCTTTCCCCATTGCTTGTTTTTCTCAGGTTTGTCAAAGATCAGATAGTTGTAGATATGTGGCGTTATTTCTGAGGGCTCTGTTCTGTTCCATTGATCTATATCTCTGTTTTGGTACCAGTACCATGCTGTTTTGGTTACTGTAGCCTTGTAGTATAGTTTGAAGTCAGGTAGTGTGATGCCTCCAGCTTTGTTCTTTTGGCTTAGGATTGAATTGGTGATGTGGGCTCTTTTTTGGTTCCATATGAACTTTAAAGTAGTTTTTTCCAATTCTGTGAAGAAAGTCATTGGTAGCTTGATGGAGATGGCATTGAATCTATAAATTACCTTGGGCAGTATGGCCATTTTCACGATATTGATTCTTCCTACCCATGAGCATGGAATGTTCTTCCATTTGTTTGTATCCTCTTTTATTTCCTTGAGCAGCGGTTTGTAGTTCTCCTTGAAGAGGTCCTTCACGTCCCTTGTAAGTTGGATTCCTAGGTATTTTATTCTCTTTGAAGCAATTGTGAATGGGAGTTCACTCATGATTTGGCTCTCTGTTTGTCTGTTATTGGTGTATAAGAATGCTTGTGATTTTTGTACATTGATTTTGTATCCTGAGACTTTGCTGAAGTTGCTTATCAGCTTAAGGAGATTTTGGGCTGACACAATGGGGTTTTTGAGATATACAATCATGTCATCTGCAAACAGGGACAATTTGACTTCCTCTTTTCCTAATTGAATACCCTTTATTTCCTTCTCCTGCCTAATTGCCCTGGCCAGAACTTCCAACACTATGTCGAATAGGAGTAGTAGACAGGGAATCCCTGTCTTGTGCCAGTTTTCAAAGGGAATGCTTCCAGTTTTTGCCCATTCAGTATGATATTGGCTGTGGGTTTGTCATAGATAGCTCTTATTATTTTGAGATACGTCCCATCAATACCTAATTTATTGAGAGTTTTTAGCATGAAGGTTGTTGAATTTTGTCAAAGGCCTTTTCTGCATCTATTGAGATAATCATGTGGTTTTTGTCTTTGGTTCTGTTTATATGCTAGATTACATTTATTGATTTGTGTATACTGAACCAGCCTTGCATCCCAGGGATGAAGCCCACTTGATCATGGTGGATAAGCTTTTTGATGTGCTGCTGGATTCGGTTTGCCAGTATTTTATTGAGGATTTTTGCATCAATGTTCATCAAGGATATTGGTCTAAAATTCTCTTTTTTTGTTGTGTCTGTGCCAGGCTTTGGTATCAGGATGATGCTGGCCTCATAAAATGAGTTAGGGAGGATTCCCTCTTTTTCTATTGATTGGAATAGTTTCAGAAGGAATGATACCAGTTCCTCCTTGTACCTCTGGTAGAATTCGGCTGTGAATCCATCTGGTCCTGGACTCTTTTTGGTTGGTAAGCTATTGATTATTGCCACAATTTCAGAGCCTGTTATTGGTCTATTCAGAGATTCAACTTCTTCCTGGTTTAGTCTTGGGAGGGTGTATGTGTCGAGGAATTTATCCATTTCTTCTAGATTTTCTAGTTTATTTGCATAGAGGTGTTTGTAGTATTCTCTGATGATAGTTTGTATTTCTGTGGGATCGGTGGTGATATCCCCTTTATCATTTTTTATTGCATCTATTTGATTCTTCTCTTTTCTTCTTTATTAGTCTTGCTAGCGGTCTATCAATTTTGTTGATCCTTTCAAAAAATCAGCTCCTGGATTCATTAATTTTTTGAAGGGTTTTTTGTGTCTCTGTTTCCTTCAGTTCTGCTCTGATTTTAGTTATTTCTTGCCTTCTGCTAGCTTTTGAATGTGTTTGCTCTTGCTTTTCTAGTTCTTTTAATTGTGATGTTAGGGTGTCAATTTTGGATCTTTCCTGCTTTCTCTTGTGGGCATTTAGTGCTATAAATTTCCCTCTACACACTACTTTGAGTGTGTCCCAGAGATTCTGGTATGTTGTGTCTTTGTTCTCGTTGGTTTCAAAGAACATCTTTATTTCTGCCTTCATTTCGTTATGTACCCAGTAGTCATTCAGGAGCAGGTTGTTCAGTTTCCATGTAGTTGAGTGGTTTTTAGTGAGTTTCTTAATCCTGAGTTCTAGTTTGATTGCACTGTGGTCTGAGAGACAGTTTGTTATAATTTCTGATCTTTTACATTTGCTGAGGAGAGCTTTACTTCCAACTATGTGGTCAATTTTGGAATAGGTGTGGTGTGGGGCTGAAAAAAATGTATATTCTGTTGATTTGGGGTGGAGAGTTCTGTAGATGTCTATTAGGTCTGCTTGGTGCAGAGCTGAGTTCAATTCCTGGGTATCCTTGTTAACTTTCTGTCTCGTTGATCTGTCTAATGTTGACAGTGGGGTGTTAAAGTCTCCCATTATTATTGTGTGGGAGTCTAAGTCTCCTTGTAGGTCACTCAGGACTTGCTTTATGAATCTGGGTGGTCCTGTATTGGGTGCATATATATTTAGGATAGTTAGCTCTTCTTGTTGAATTGATCCCTTTACCATTATGTAATGGCCTTTTTTGTCTCTTTTGATCTTTGTTGGTTTACAGTCTGTTTTATCAGAGACTAGGATTGCAACCCCTGCCTTTTTTTGTTTTCCATTTGCTTGGTAGATCTTCCTCCATCCTTTTATTTTGAGCCTATGTGTGTCTCTGCACATGAGATGGGTTTCCTGAATACAGCACACTGATGGGTCTTGACTCTATCCAATTTGCCAGTCTGTGTCTTTTAATTGGAGCATTTAGTCCATTTACATTTAAAGTTAATATTGTTATGTGTGAATTTGATCCTGTCATTATGATGTTAGCTGGTTATTTTGCTCGTTAGTTGATGCAGTTTCTTCCTAGCCTCGATGGTCTTTACAATTTGGCATGATTTTGCAGTGGCTGGTACTGGTTGTTCCTTTCCATGTTTAGTGCTTCCTACAGGAGCTCTTTTAGAGCAGGCCTGGTGGTGACAAAATCTCTCAGCATTTGCTTGTCTGTAAAGGATTTTATTTCTCCTTCACTTATGAAGCTTAGTTTGGCTGGATATGAAATTCTGGGTTGAAAATTCTTTTCTTTAAGAATGTTGAATATTGGCCCCCCCCGCCCCGCCCAACTCTCTTCTGGCTTGCAGAGTTTCTGCCAAGAGATCCGCTGTTAGTCTGATGGGCTTCCCTTTGTGGGTTACCCGACCATTCTCTCTGGCTGCCCTTAACATTTTTTTCTTCATTTCAACTTTGGTGAATCTGACAATTATGTGTCTTGGAGTTGCTCTTCTCGAGGAGTATGTTTGTGGCATTCTCTGTATTTCCTGAATTTGAATGTTGGCCTGCCTTGCTAGATTGGGGAAGTTCTCCTGGATAATATCCTGCAGAGTGTTTTCCAACTTGGTTCCATTCTCCCCATCACTTTCAGGTACACCAATCAGAGGTAGATTTGGTCTTTTCACATAGTCCCATATTTCTTGGAGGCTTTGTTCATTTCTTTTTATTCTTTTTTCTCTAAATTTTCCTTCTCACTTCATTTCATTCATTTCATTTTCCATTGCTGATACCCTTTCTTCCAGTTGATTGCGTCGGCTCCTGAGGCTTCTGCATTCTTCACGTAGTTCTCGAGCCTTGGCTTGCAGCTCCATCAGCTCCTTTAAGCACTTCTCTGTATTGGTTATTCTAGTTATATATTCGTCTACATTTTTTTCAAAGTTTTCAACTTCTTTGCCTTTGATTTGAATTTCCTCCTGTAGCTCAGAGTAGTTTGATCGTCTGAAGCCTTCTTCTCTCAACTCGTCAAAGTCATTCTCCATCCAGCTTTGTTCTGTTGCTGGTGAGGAGCTGTGTTCCTTTGGAGGAGGAGAGGTGCTCTGCTTTTTAGAATTTCCAGTTTTTCTGTTCTGTTTTTTCCCCATCTTTGTCGTTTTATCTACCTTTGGTCTTTGATGATGGTGATGTACAGATGGGTTTTTGGTGTGGATGTCCTTTCTGTTTGTTAGTTTTCCTTCTAACAGACAGGACCCTCAGCTGCGGGTCTGTTGGAGTTTGCTAGAGGTCCACTCCAGACCCTGTTTGCCTGGGTACCAGCAGCAGTGGCTGCAGAACAGCGGATTTTCGTAAACTGCGAATGCTGCTGTCTGATCATTCCTCTGGAAGTTTTGTCTCAGAGGAGTACCCGGCCGTGTGAGGTGTCAGTCTGCCCCTACTGGCGGGTGCCTCCCAGTTAGGCTGCTCGGGGGTCAGGGGTCAGGGACCCACTTGAGGAGGCAGTCTGCCCATTCTCAGATCTCCAGCTGCGTGCTGGGAGAACCACTGCTCTTTTCAAAGCTGTCAGACAGGGACATTTAAGTCTGCAGAGGTTACCGCTGTCTTTTTGTTTGTCTGTGCCCTGCCCCCAGAGGTGGAGCCTACAGAGGCAGGCAGGCCTCTGTGAGCTGTGGTGGGCTCCACCCAGTTCGAGCTTCCCGGCTGCTTTGTTTACCTAAGCAAGCCTGGGCAATGGCGGGCGCCCCTCCCCCAGCCTTGCTGCCACCTTGCAGTTTGATCTCAGACTGCTGTGCTAGCAATCAGGGAGACTCCATGGGCGTAGGACCCTCCGAGCCATGTGAGGGATATAATCTCCTGGTGCGCTGTTTTTTAAGCCTGTTGTCGGAAAAGCGCAGTATTAGGGTGGGAGTGACCCGATTTTCCAGGTGCCGTCTTTCACCCCTTTCTTTGACTAGGAAAGGGAACTCCCTGACCCCTTGCACTTCCCGAGTGAAGCAATGCCTCGCCCTACTTTGGCTCGCGCTTGGTGCGCTGCACCCACTGTCCTGCGCCCACTGTCTGGCACTCCCTAGTGAGATGAACCAGGTACCTCAGATGGAAATGCAGAAATCACCCATCTTCTGCGTCACTCACGCTGAGAGCTGTAGACTGGAGCTGTTCCTATTCGGCCATCTTGGCTCCCGGATCAGGAAAGGATCGGATTCATAGTGTTTTAACTTTTCACATATCATGAATATTCTCCATGAAAAATTCTTAATACCATTTTCTGAGGTTGCAACTTATAATGGCCTCATTTTTTTAAAAAAATTAGAGATATCTAACTTAAAAAATAATTTTAGTCCACAAAAATTAATCTACATTTCTGATTGTTTCATTAGAATGGATTATTTGCAGTGGAATTTGGGGTTAAAAAAAGACCATTATTTGTAAGGTTATTGAAATACACTGTCAAATTGCAATGCAGAAAGGGTTAAATATCAATTTAACCAGAATTGTATTAGAATCTCACGTTTTTTCATCTTTTACAGCATAAAGCCTTATTTTCTTAAAAATGAATTCACTGGCCTTTTTTGCAATGTGGAGCTGATGATATTTCTTGGAAAATACTATTTGTAGTAGATTGTGGAATAATTACATAAACTGCAAGAGAAAATTCATGCCATTTCAGGTTCATTAGAATGGCTAGTGGAAACAGTTGTCATTTTCCAATGTCAATTGCGTAGTATGTATTTTGGTAGCTTTGGGGCTAGAAAAAAGACGGTTAAGCTCTTCAAAATAAGTTTTTCTAATATATTTTGATTACTCCCTTATTTTACTCTAATTTTTTCCAAAGAAAACATTTCCATTTAAAGAGTCTTTATTGTAAGTAGTACCCTTTCTTGTGAAAAAAATTCACATATACTCAGAGTAAGTTACCCTTCTCAAGATTAATAGATGCATTCCTTCACCCCTCCTACAGGAAAAGTCAGAACAGACTTCTCTGGCTTTCTCTTAGAAATTACCTCATTTATGCACTTTAATTTCCTAGGACTAAGCTGAAAGTGGTAATAAAGTTAATTAAACAGAAGGCAAATGAATACTTAAGAATCAGCTTTTATGAAACTAGTTTTAGGCAAATCCATGATTTAACAAAGTTTATCTTTGCTTTTCATTCACCCTAATAAAGACATACCTGAGGTTGGGCGATTTACAAAGCAAAGAGGTTTAATGAAGAACTCACAGTTCCATGTGGCTGGGGAAGCCTCACAATCATGGCAGAAGGCAAGGAGGAGCAAGTCATATCATACATAGATGGCAGTGGGCAAAGAGAGAAAATGAGGAAGACGCAAAAGCAGAAACCCCTGATAAAACCATCAGATATTTTGAGACTTATTCACTACCATGAGAACAGTATGGGGGAACCACCCCCAGGATTCAAGTTATCTCCTACCAGGTCCCTCTCACAACATGTGGGAATTATGGGAGTACAATTCAAGATGAGATTTGGGTAGAGACACAAAGCCAAACCATATCAACTCTCAAAAATCATTTTTTGGCAACCTATGTACCAGGTACTTTGAAGTATGCTGTTGACATGGAATGAAAAAGATACAACTTCTGTTCTCCAAGCGATCATAAATTAATAGGAGTAACAGATTTAAGTAATTATAGTAATATGAGAAGTGCCTATAACAGATGTAGGTGCAAGGCTCAGTGGAGGCCTAGAAGACGAGGCAACTAGTTGATGGGATTGGTAAACAGGTAATGTCTAAACAGCATTCTGAAGATGAGTAGGGTTTGGCCAGCTTGTAAAGTGAAGGGGTAGCAATAGAATATTCTAGGCTGAAGGAGCAGCACATGTGCAGGTACTGAGGCAAGGTGTCACACTTTCCTTTGGAGGCCATGTGAAGCCGTTTAGCATGATGGGAGAGGGCCTCACAAGGGAGTGGCTCGGGATGAGGCTGGAGACATGTGAGGACCTCAGATTGTGAAGGGCTCTGTAGGCTATGTTAAGGACACTAGAAATCTATTGAAAGGTTTTAAGCAGAGAATTGACTTGCTCATATTTTTGCTTCAAAAAGCTCAATAGCTACAAAACGGTCAATAGATGGTAGCTTTGTGGGGCTGGGGTGAATGCAATGATATTGCAAAACAAGATATAGGGAGACAAGAACTTTTAATAACCTAAACCAGTGGTTCTCAAACTTTCCATGCATCAGAATCACCTGGATGACTTGCGAAAACACAAATAATCAGACTTAATCCCTACATTTTCTGATTTAGCAGGTATAGAATGAGGTTTAAGAATTTCTAACAAGTTCCCAGATGGCGTAAGGTGTCTCTCAGGTTTTTTACTTGAGCAACTGGGTGGATCCTAGAGTCATAAAAAACAAAAGAGGGAAAGCGTGAAGGAAGTGCTTTTTTTTTATTTTTTTATTTTTTTACTAAACCCAGCAATCCCCTTTGCCTTTCAATGCTGTTTCCTCTAATTCTCCAAAGTTTAAATGTTATCTTTTGGCTATCTCTCTGCTCTAGCATCCCTTCCTTAGAAGCAGAATCTCATGATGCTGAACTCTAACTCACCTTATTTGAATGTCGCTGGCTTATCCTCCCAAGGTCCAGATCTCTATTAGCTTATGACAGACCCAAACGGACTAATGTGTCATTGATTATAAATGGGAATTTGATGCTCCTCCAGCGTGACAAATTTCTACTTTAACGGTGGTCTTTCTGAACCATGCCTCTCTCCAATGTGGTGTCTCAAGTGGGAGTTTTGGATACCACAACAGACAATCTAGAGGACTGGTTCCTGGATGGTGGTGATCTTCTGGCATCCCTCAATAAACAGAGACTTGTGCTACCAATGCATAAAGGTCTATATAAATGACAAGTGCCAGTCAAAATTTTTATTCCTTGGACCCTGCTCCAAGTGGGTGGGTCACAAAAGGTATAATTTATCTTTGCCAAGGGAAATAACTGACTTTAAAAGGTATTCCAATTTAATTGCAATAAATCTCTGCTTTAAATAACTTGCTTTAATTATATATACAGGAAATAGATCGGACAGTAGTCATAAAATCTTCCCTGAATCAAATTATGTACGTGTGTGTGCATGCGTTACTCCTGGGGAAAAGTTACTTTACCCCATTTCCTGTCAAGATTCTTCATATGTACAACTAGGACTATGAAATACGTTACAGGGGCCGGGCACAGTGGCTCATGTCTGTAATCCCAGCACTTTGGGAGGCTGAGGCAGGTGGATCACCTGAGGTCAGGAGTCCAAGACCAGCTTGGCCAAGATGGTGGAACCTCGTCTCTACTAAAAATGCAAAAATTATCCAGTCTTAGGGACAGGCACCTATAATCCCACCTACTCAGGAGGCTGAGACAGGAGAATCGCTTGAACCTGGCAGACGGAGGTTGCAGTGAGCCGAGGTCGTGCCACTGCACTCCAGCCTGGGGAGAGAGCAAGACTCTGTCTAAAAAATAAAATAAAATACCTTACAGGGTTTTGGGTAGATTAAAAGAAATAATTTCTGTAAAATGTCTAGTTCAGTGTTCTGTATCATAAATATTCTCTTCTCTCCTCATTTCCCCTTGATGATCTCTTATCTTGCCCCTCTGGGAAGTGATCAAACTCTGGACATCTTTGGAAGGAGCCATTGTTTGGAATGAGTGAACTAGATAGTAGTGGCATCATATTGATCAGGGTATACCCTGTAAGCCAATTGCAAACTTGCATAATCTGCAAAAACTTTTATTCTGCAAATAACATCAAATGCCTGAGACTATTTTAATGTTAAGGGTTACTTCTTTTAAATTAGATTTTCTTAGGTTTCCCACTGCACTATTTCTTTCATTTCCACTCCAACCAGACAAGTTATTGCATATTTGATTTTGATGTGGTATTTGCTTATTACTTGAAGAAATTCAATCATTTCCTACAACAGGAAAAAAAGATTAAGGATTACCAAAAGGCTTGACAGCATGCTGTATTCTGACCCTCACTTTCTCAGTTGTCAGTTCTCTTGTTTTAAATGGTATCATGGCTCCCTTAAAAATCTGGTCAGGAGGTATTTGTAGGATCTCATTAGAATACTGTAATAGTTATCATTTATAGAGTACTTAATGTGTAGGAACTTTGTAAGATCTCTATTCTTACCTGTACCCATACACATTTATTCCCATATCTATAATTATTAATCACTAGCACCTCAGGAATTTTCATAAAAGTCCTAGAAGGAGGGATGTAGAATATGCCTTCATTATTCCCTATCATGAACACTAATAAAAGTATTTGTTTTCCAACTTTGAAAAGGCATTATTTTCAAGAACCTGATGGCTGAGATTTCCCACTCTTTGTTAAATTCCCTGCATAACAAAATTACTGGATGGGAAGTCTGTCAGGAAATTTGACTATTTCTAAATTTATTTTATTGGCGTCCCCTGATGCTCCCCCACCCCAACCCCTTGCCTGACTCTGCTAAAAGGTATATAGCAATATCCAGCCAATATTAAAACATACGTCCAGGGGAATCTCAGATAACTGCTATGTGGGGGGAAAATCAGTTGAAATCATTCATAAGACAATTTAAGAAGTACCATTTCGAGAGTCAAAAATTTGATGTGGCAGTAGGATCAGGAAAATCCCCAAAGCAGCCCTTGCTTTTAATGTTGATACTTCCATAGTTTATTTTACCAAGTGTTTGCCTTTAGTAATTTTACTTTTATGTGAGAGCTTAGTTCAGCACCATCTTGTACTCACCTGTGAATCTTATGATCCTTCGAAGTAAGGGGTTCAGGTAACAGCATTCTCCGGTCAGAATTGTTTTCTCCTGAGCAATCAGGGATTCTCTTGTTGATTTTATGAAATACATGGATATCTCACCAATAAAAATCTAGGGAAGGAATGTTTAAGAAATGTCAAGTTGGAGATCTGTTTGATAAGAGAGGCCCATGGCTTTAAAAACAAAACAAAACTGTTGAGGACCCACAATCATTTTAAAAGATGTTGGAGAGAGATGGTGAATTAGATCGTAATTTGCATTTAACACTTCAAAAGAATTAGAGAAAGTGATAATTGATCATTTCAGATAGAGTTTCAGCCTATAATATTAAAATCTAAGGTCACATGGAAACAAATTGAAATAATAAGTTGTAATAGAATTTATGACAAGGTTCATGCTGGGATTGAATTCTTTTTTAACTTTCTGTGTGAGTAGCAATGATGAGGAATGATTCAGACAGCCAATGTGCCCAAGAAGGCATTATATACACACATCACAAGAGGTGACAGTAAGACCTCACTTTATATCAACAGGTTTGTGAAAACTGGAACTTTAAGTGAAATGACATACTGTATGCTATAAGAATTTAACTCTTCTTTATATCAATTAGTCTATGGTAAAATTAGTTTTGTTATATAGCATGTTGTTTTGCTTAAACTTGCAGTTTCCAAGAACCTATCCACCACAACATTAAGTGAGGACTTTACTCAACTGCATTACTTTATTATGTGCCATTACAATTATTTACATTCTAAATTCTTATTTGATCACAATTGCCTCAGATATATTTCTCCTACCCTGAACTGGTTGATTAGCCCTTCTTTATTATAGGCATCTCTCTCGTTAAACTAATAAATATATGTTACCCTTTAAATTATAATGCCCTTAGGTAGATTAGAAGCCCCCTAATAGCAGGGACTACATCTTAATAACTCTTTAGTATCCTTATGGCACCCAGCACAGTGTATTCCCATTTAAAACAAGGAATTGGTAGAGACAAGTTTTCATGAACAATGACACTGCCATAACTGAAGATCGAGACTCATCAAGGAAAAGTAAAAGGTTAATTACCGTTATCTATTAAATACTGGGCGTTAGGCACTTCAGCATAGTCTTTTCAGGCTCACAAGATCCCTCCTGCAGGCATAATTATCCTTGCTTTACTGTTGAGGAGTGACAGTTTAGCAAGTTTAGGTAATTTACCCTCCAAAGCATATGGATGGTGCATGGGGCACAGGAATTAGTATACACGTCAATTGGATTCCAAAGTCCACACTTCCCACTATTCATATGCCATTTTGATTTTCCTAATCCTAATTTTAACATTTCCCCAGAATAATGTGATCTCATAGATGATCATCTTTGCTGTACATAGACCTGTGATTTTAGAGAAAATTTATTAATGTTTTAATTCCATACCTTATATTTCTCCTGTCATGCTGGAATGTCTGTTTAGATGGATAAAGATGATGACATAATGAAAGGCACATGGATAACAGAAATTAAAAAGTATAAAATTTCAAAACTGGAATCATTTATAATGTTCTCCCTTTATGGGTTTCAGGAACTCGGACACACACAGACAGATAGTATCTGAAGCATCTCTAGAACACATGCATTAAAGTGTATGTACACTGTGATGTTAATAAATCTAGCTAATTAACATATGCATGATCTTACATAGTTATCATTTTTGTGGTACAAACACTTAATGTTCACTTGGAATTTTTCAAGAATATATTTTATTAATTATAGTCACAGTATTGTGTAATAGATCTCTTGAACTTATTCCTCTTGTGAGATCAACTTCTGTAGATTCCACATCTACAATTAGAAGTGAGATCATGCAGTATTTGTCTTTCAGTGCCTGGATTATTTCACTTAACATAATGTCCTCTAGGTTTATCCATCTTGTCACCAATGACAGAATTGCCTTTTTAATGGCATATATGTCACATCATTTTAAATCCAGACACTGAGGCAGATTCCATATCTTGGCTATTGGGAATAATGCTGCAACGAATATGGCAGTTCAGATATCTCTTTGATATACTTATTTCATTTCCTTTGTATATACACTCAGTAGTGGTATATAGATTGCTACTAGATCAATGGCAATTCTATTTTTAATTTTTTGAGGCACCTCCATATGGATTCCTATACGATGGCTGTACTAACTTACATTTCTACCAGCAATGTGCAAGTGTTCCCTTTTCTCTATATTCCCACCAATATTTATCTTTCATCTTTTGATAATAGCCATTCTAACAGGTGTGAGATTATATCTCAATGTGGTTTTAATTTGCATGTCCTTGATGATTAGTGATACTGAGCATTTTTTTTCATATATTTGTTGGCCATTTGTCTTTTGTCTATTTAGGCCTTTTCTTCATTTTTAAATTGGGTTATTATCTTGCTATTGAGTTGTTTGATTTTCTTATATTTTAATAATCTTTATTAGACATATGGTTTACAAATACATTTTCCCATTCTGTAGGTTGTCTCTTCACTTTGTTGCTGGTTTTCTTCACTGTGCAGAAGCATTTTAGTTTGATGTAATCCCATTTGTCTATTTTTGCTTTTGTTGCCTGTGCTTTTGGGTTCATATCCAGAAAATTATTGCCCAGACATATGTCATGAAGCTTTTCTTCTATGTAAGACCTCATTGCTTTAGGTATTACAATTAAGTATTTAATCCATTTTGAGTTGATTTTTGTATACGGTGTGAGATAAAGTCTTAATTTTACTCTTCTGCATGTGGATAGCCAGTTTTCCTAACACAATTTATTAATGGACTGACCTTTTCCCATTGGGTGTGCTTGACACCTTTGTTGAAAATCAGTTGGCTATAAACGTGTGGATTTATTTCTGGGTTCTGTTCTATTCCATTGGTCTTTCTTTATATGCCAATAGCATGTTGTTTTGGTTACTAATAGCCTTGTAGTATATTTAGAAGTCAGATAGTGTGATGTCTCCAGATTTGTTCTTTTTGCTCAGGATTGCTTTGGCCATTCTAGGTCTTTTTTGATTGATGACTTTTAGGATTGTTTTTTCTATCCTGTGAAAAATATCATTGATAGCTGGGTGTGGTGGCTCACGGCTGTGATCGTAGCACTTTGGAAGGCTGAGATTGGAGGATTGCTTGAGGCCAGGAGTTCAAGACTAGCCTGGTCAACAGAGCGAGATCCCATCACTATAAAAAATGTATCATTGATATTTTGGTAGCAAATGAGTTGAATCTGTAGATTGCTTCATGTAGTATTAAACATTTTAACAGTATTAATTCTTCCAATCCATGAACATAGAATATCTTCCCATTCTTTTGCAACTCCAATTTCTTTCATCAATATTTTATACTTTTCATTGTAGATACTTTTCATCTCTTTGGTTAAATTCCTAAGTATTTTTTGTAGCTATTATAAATAGGATTATTATTTACTTTTTTTCAGATAGCTTGCAGTTAATATATAGAAATGCTACTGATTTTTGTATTTTGTTTTATATCCTGCAACTTTACTGAACCAGTTTATTCTAACAGTTTTCAGTAGAGTCTTCAGGGTTTTCTGTATACAGGATGTCATATGCAAACAAGGAAAATTTAATGTTTTTGCTTCCAATTTGAATGCCTTTTCTTTCTTTCTCTTGCCAAATTGCTCTGGCTAGGACTTTATGTACTATGTTGAATAGAAGTGGTGAGAGTTACCCTTGTCTTATTCCACATCTTAGAGAAAAAACTTTCAACTTTTCTCCGTTGAACATGAATTTAGCTGTGAGTTTACCACATATGGCCTCTATTGTATTGGGTTACATTTCTTTATACCTAATTTGTTGAGGGTTTTTTAAATCGTAAAAGGATATTGAATTTTGTCAAATCATTTTTTTGCATTTATTGAAATATATAGTTTTTGTTCCTCATTCTTTTAAAGTGATGTACTACATTTATTGATTTGTGTATGTTGAACCATCTTTGCACCCTTGGGATGAATCCCACATGATCATGGTAAATGGTCTTTTAAACTGTGCTGTTAAGTTTGATTTGTTAGGGTTTTTTGAGCATCTTTGTATCTATGTTCATCAGGAATGTTGACCTGTGTTGTTGTGTCCTTCTCTGGCTTTGGTATTAGGGGAATGCTGACCTTGTAAAATGAATTTGGAAGTAGTCCCTCCTTTTCAATTTTTTTGGGAGAGAGTTAGAAAAGGTGCGATATCAGTTTTACTTTAAATTTTTGGTAGAATTCAGCAGCAAAGCTGTCAGCTCCTGGGCTTTTCTTTGCTGGGGGACTGTATATTATTGATTCAATCACCTAGTTTGTTTGGAATTTCTATTTCTTCATGATTTAATCTTGGGTAGGGTGTGTGTTTCCAGAAACTTACCTGTTTCTTCTAGGCTATCCAATTTGTTGGTGTATCATTGTTCATAATAGTCTAATATGATCCTTTGTATTTCTGTAGTGTCAGTTGTAATGTTTCCTTTCTCATCTCTGATTTTGAATCTTTGAATCTTCTCTTTTTTCTTGTCTAAAGGTTTATCAATTTAGTCTATCTTTTCAAAAAAGCAACTCTTCATTTTGTTCTTCTCTATTGTTTTTCTAGTCTCTATTTATTCTTATTTTATTAATTTCTGGGTTCTCTATTCTGTTCCATTGGTTTAGGTGTCTGTTTTCATGGCAGCACCATGCTGTATTGGTTATTATAGCTCTGTAGTATGATTTGAAGTCAGGTAATATGATTCCTCCAGTTTTGTTTTTTGCTCAAGATAGCTTTGGCTATTCTGGGTCTTTTGTGATGTCATATAAATGTCAGAATTATTTCTTTTCTATTTTTTTGAAGAACATCGTTGGTATTTTTATAGGAATTGCACTGAATCTGTGGATCACTTTTGGTAGTATGGGCATTTTAACAATATTCTTCTAATCCACAAACATGAAATGTCTTTTAATTTTTTGTGTCCTCAATTTTTTGATCAGTATTTTATAGTTTCATTGTAGAGCTCTTTCACTTATTTGATTAAGTTTATTCCTAGGTATTTTATTTGTAGCTATTGTAAATGGGATTATTTTCTTGATTTCTTTTTCAGATTGTTCATTGTTGGCATATAGAAATGCTACCATTTTTTTGTTTGTTCATTTTGTATCCTGAAATTTTATTGAATTTATGTATCAGTTCTAATAGGTTTTTTTTGGTGGAGTCTTTAGGTTTTTCCAAATATAAGATCATATAGTCTGCAAGGAAGGATAATTTGACTTCCTGTCCAATTTGGATGTTCCTTCTTTCTTTCTTTTGTCTGATTGCTCTAGCTAGCACTTCCAGTCCTATATTGAATAACAGTGGTGAAAGTGGGCTTCCTTATCATGTTCCAGATCTTAGAGGAAAGGCTTTCAGTTTTTGCCCATTCAGTATGTTACTAGCTGTGGGTCTGTTTTATATGGCATTTATTGTGTTGAGGTATGTTCCTTCTATACTCCGTTTTATGAGGGTTTTTAATTATGAAAGGATGCTGAATTTTATCAAATACTTTTTTCAGCATTAATGGAAATGATAATTTTTTTCTTCATTCTGATATGATGTATCACATTGATTGATTTGCATATGTTGAACCATCCTTGCATCCCTGGGATAAATCCCACTTGGCCATGATAAATGATCTTTTTAATGTGTTGTTGCTAGTATTCTGTTGAAGATTTTTGCAACCATGTTCATTAGGGATATTGGCCTGTACTTTTCCTTTTTTTGATGTGTCTTTGTCTGGTTTTGATATAAGGGCAATACTGGCCTCATATAATAAGTTTGGAAGTATTCTTTGCTCCTCTATTTTGCAGAATAGTTTGAGTAAAATTGGTATTAGTTCTTCTTTAAATGTTTGGTAAAATTCAATAGTGAAACCATCAGGTCCTGGGCTTTTCTTTGCTGAGAAGCTTTTTACTATGACTTTGATCTTATTACTTGTTATTGATCTATTCAAGTTTTGGATTTCCTCATGGCTCAATCTTGGTAAGTTGTATATGTCTAGAGTTTATCTATTTTCTCTAGGTTTTGCAATTTATTGACATATAGCTGCTCATAGTAGTCTCTAAGGATCCTTCTAATTTCTGTGGTATCAGTTGCAATGTCTCTTTTTTCATCTCTGATTTTATTTGTTTGAGTCATCTCTTTTCGTCTTGGTCTGGCTAACTGTTTGTCAGTTATCCTTTCAAAAAACCAACTTTTCATTTAATCGATCTTTTGTATTGTTTTATAAATTTCATTTATTTCTGCTCTGATCTTTATTATTTCTTTGCATAATTTGGGTTTGGTTTGCCCTTGTTTTTCTAGTTCTTTCAGATGCATCATTATGTTGTTTGTTTGATGTTTTTCTACCTTTTTGCTGTAGGAGTTTATTGCTATAAAATTCCCTCTTAGTACTGCTTTTGCTTGATTCCATCCACTTTGGTATGTTGTGTTTCTATTTTCATTTGACTCATAATATTTCTTAACTTCTTTCTTATTCATTGATCCACTGATCATTCAGGAACGTATTGTTTAATTTCCATGTGTGTGTATAGTTTCCAACATTCCTCTTATTGATTATTAGTTTTATTCCATTGTGGTCAGAGAATATACTTGATATGACTATTTTTTGAATTTAAGACTTTTTAATGTCCTAAGATATTACCTGTCCTTGAGAATAATCTATGTGCTGAGGAGGAGAATGTGTATTGTGTTCCCACTGGATGAAATGTTTTATAAATATCAAGTCCATTTGGTCTATACTACAGATTAAGATCAATGTTCCTTTATTGATTTTCTGTCTGAACTATCTGTCCAATGCTGAAAGTGGGGTGTTGAAATCACCAGCTATTTTTGCATTGAGGTCTATCTCTCTGGCTCTAATAATTTTTTGCTTTGTATATCTGCATGCCCCAGTGCTGGGTGCATATGTATTTACAATTGTTACATTCTCTTGCTGAATTAATCCCTTTATAATTATATAATGCTAAATATAATGTTAAATTTCTCATTGTGCTCACTTACTGTTTTCCTCATTTACTTGTATTGTTTTTCTGTATTTTCTTGAAGTTCATTGAGCTTCCTTAAAAACAGTTATTTTGAATTCCTTGTCAGTGAGTTCGAACATCTCTATTTCTTTATGGTCAGTTAGCAGCATTTTATTTTGTCCCTTTGGTGATATCATGTTTTACTGATTGTTCTTGGGGCTGCGTATTGAGATATACACATTTGTAGAAGTAGGTACTTATTCCAGTCTTTGCAGATTGGCTTTGCTGGAAAAGCTCTTCAACAGTCCATTCAGAGATTTTGGACAGGCCATTAAGCTTGGTTCTGAATCGCAGGGTCACTACAGGGGTGGGGTATGCCCAAAACCTGGGGCTGCTGAGGCCTGCCTGCTGCTCTGGCCTGTCCAGATCCTATAGACACTGAAGTCAAGCCAGCGGTAGTACAACTGGGAGACCAACTCTGCCTCACAGGCTTGAAGTCTGGGACTGCAGGGTCCCACCCAGGACTGGGACTCAGTTTGTGGATACTACTCTGGAGTCTGGGGCTGTGGGTGCCTGCCAGCCTGCCTGATGCTGGATTTCGCTGTGGTGGGCCCAGGGTTGGGGTCCAAGGCAAAGTCCTGTTCTCACACCCCTCTCTTTCCCCCAAGTGGATGGTGTCTCTCTCAATGTTGTGATGGTTGGGGGAGGGGTGGTGCAGGTAATGTAAAATTCTCCTTTCTACCATTTTCAATGCATCTTTTATTATTATTGTGTTCCAACCAGTTACTCTGATCTCTCGCCTGGTTTACTTAGCTCTTGTGAAGGTATTACTATTTTAGCGCATGGATAGCTGCTCAAGTTGTTTCAGTTGGAGGGGGTATGATTACTGGATAGCACTATTCCACCAACTTGCTCCATCCCTCTTCTTCACAAATATTTTAAAAAACATGTGGTACGCAATAAATAACTGATATCAATACAAAAAGTTTAGAGGAAGTTTTTAGATTTCAGAATATAAACAGTCTGTGGAAAAAACTAGTCACTGAAAGATGTATTATAATTTTGTATTTTAAGGAAATTTCACTGCATGTTATATGTGGTTGCAATTTAAAAGGGCATTTAGAATTCCCAGAATACATATTTTGTGGTCATACATATGCTAGTTGTGGCTCTAGTACTGGGTGATATCAAAGTTTTTGCTGTTTCCTGAATGCGGGCTTTGGAGTTGAAATCTCAGCTCTCTCCTTTATTGATGTGTGATTTTGGGTAACTAATGGAAACTTTTTGAGGTTCAGTTTTTCTTTTTCTAATGATTTGAATATGAAAGTAGTGACTGTATTACATAGTTGTTGAGAGGATTAAAAAGTGAATGTAAAAGCATATATATATGTCCTATGTTTTCTGTTTGTACTTGCTGGTCTACCCAGGCAAGAATGTGTGTTGAAACAGGAGAAAGAAATCATTGTGCCCAGTCCTGGAGTAAGGAAATATAGTGTAATTCTAGCTCGACTCTGCCCTAACCAGGTGTTTAATTTTGGACTAGTTGCTTGACCTCTTTGGGTGTCAGTTTCTCATCTGTCAAATGAAGAAGTTTTACTACAGGATCCCTAAGGTGCTTTTTTAGCTCCAACATCTTTGCCATTATGATAGGAGCCAAAAAGAGAGGGCTCGTTAAGGGAAACTGAAATCATGTAACTGGGCTTCAATCGCAGTTCAGTCAGTTAAGCTCTCCAAGGCCAGCGTGATTTCTTGCATTGCTTCTTCCTTCAGCCATCATTTCCTTCTACAATCCCATGGGCCTTCACCCTTACCAAGTAACCTTCCCTGAAAGCAAAGTAGACACAGCCTACCCCAAGTCATCACATTTGCTGATATCTCTGTCACTTTGGGTTGTTAAAGGACAGCAGAGGCTGGTGATCAGATTTTGCCCACACTCTAGATATTCTAACACTCTGAGGAAGAGGAGAGAGTTCTTTATATACTCCCCAATATTAGTCTCTAAGTAGTTTCAGGGCTCTCAGTCTTACGGATTTTTAGATACTTCTAATATTCTCCCTGGGAGGCTTCAATAGTAATAAACATCTCCAAGAAGGCAGAAATGGTTTTTGTTTTAGATTTTGTTTAAAAGTTACCCAGGAGATTTTCAACCTATAGACCCTGCTGCTAGCCCTAACTGCCAATGTCTCCATGCTCCACTTTAATCTTTCCTGATGAGTGCTGTCACATTGATAACCCCAGACCTGCAGAGAGCTTCCTGTCCCCTTACTTGCAGAACTTTGGCTAGTTCAAGAGCTCTTAGGTGTAAATGATGCAATTCAGCTCTAGACACTTCCTATGCGTTTCAAAGCTCAAGGCTTAAATGGAACCAAGGCTGTTTGGATGATTCTGAAAAGAGTTCAGTAAATGGGATAATAAGTGTTTTTGTAAACTGGAGCCTCTCTACTGGTCTTACTCCAGAGGCCACATCCACCCGTTCAGAAGGTGTCTTTAGGTGGCACTTGATATAAAATAGAGCACCAGGGCGGTATCATATTTCCAAAGCATAGTGTTCTCTTATATCTTTTTATCTGAACAGTGAATACAAGAGAAATGGGAATTTTAAATGAGTTAGCTAAAATACTACTTTCAGTAAAAAGTAAAATGCATTGAAGTAAAAATAGAGTAAAAAGTAAAATGCATTGAAAATCACATATTTTTAGGCAAACAATATTCTCTCCAAGAAACAAATTGTCAAGTTCCTTAACATAATCATCTAGTCATCAATTATTAGGAGGGGTATATTGAAGATGGAAAGCATATCTCTTGGTGGCATGATGTCAGGAGAAAAACAATCTCTAAAGGAGATTTGGAGCAGTCATCTGCAGTATGGACAGAAAATGAGAAAATGGATTTAAGTTTTTTAAAAAATCCACAATAATTAATGGGCATATCTAGAAATTTTTTCCAGAAAAATGTAAATTATAAACACTGAATATATTAGCAACAAAGAAAATGTTGTGAATTTTTTTTTAAAAAAGGAAGTCATGTGATAATGTACAAAAGGGAAAAAAGATGTGAATTATAAAATGTTATAAAGAGTTTCAACAGATGAGGTTGTTCAGAGCCTGGAAAAGGCAGATTATGAGGAAGTACAAGACCCTACAATGTCTCCTTTGCTTCGGCAGCTGCACCCCTCGTCAGCCAGCCAACAGGCTTGCATTATTGAGAGCCCACTTTGTGATCTGCACTGTGCTCTGGGTTTTTACATTTGCTGGAAGAGCTTACGGCCCAGAAACCCCCAAATGAAGATTCACAATTTTCTCCAAATTGTGCCTTTCTATCAAGTTGTGTTTGTCTCTTCCTTTCCTAGGAAATTCTAGATGAGTCTTGTAATGCATGCGCGCACACTTGCATACAAAATGTGAGCTATTTCAATCCTCGGGCTGGAAGTCATGTTCTGCTACTTCAATACTAAATACTCCCCTGTCACTTCATTGTGAAGCCAAGAAAAAAGGTTTAATAGCCATTTTTTTCATGCCTTGTGCTGCTGGGGCTGAGATAAAATGAGGGTAAATCAGATTCTCTGCTGAGTAAATCCTCTTATCCAAACAGGCTCTCTTCCTTTGACTCTGAGTGTATGAGTTTATTCAGAAGGCCTGAGGCAGTAGTTAGCCAGGGTTTCCAGGTGGTCAGAACATACCCTGCAGATTTCTTTCAAGCATAGACTGCCACTTTGGGCTAAACGGGGACACAGTAAATCCCCCATGCTCTAACCTTTCCTGAAGATCTGGGACAGCAGTGGCCTTGGCCTTTTGCGATTTATCCCATGTGGCCGTGTCTCAATATGATGCTGATCTTTTCTGACAGCAAAGCACAAAAGGAGAAATAGGAAATGACAGGTTGAATATACAGCAGAGTCTTTCCCCTCAAGCATTTCTTGTGCATCCCTGCAATTGTGAATGGGGTCATTAGTGCACATCTGCAGACGCGCAGCAGTGCAGGGTGCTAGGTTCTTCCATGGTCAATGTGCTTGAGGGAGCACAGAAAACCAAGGACAGACAAGTCCACATTGAGCTACACTTTTGAGATTTGATGTTAGTTAGTGTCTCACAGATCACCCAAGAGGCGTCACGCTTCATTATACTCCATAGAGAACAGGAAATGGTTTTAAGAAGGAATAAACAACTGTGCAGTTCTGTGAAACACTTAATCCGGCACAGAGGTGCAAAATCAAACTCCAGAAAGAGAGTCATGATTTGGGAGTTTGGAAGCCTCCAAATGTTAGCTTCTGATGAGAATGTTCATTTTTCAGTTTTCATGGAATCTGAGAACTGGCAGGTGCTTAGAGATCATTTAGCCTAACCATTTCTTTTGGGTACAGATGAGGAAACTGAACCCACAGAAGGAACATGGCTTATCAGAGGTCACACAGTTACTGGGGGCAAAGCTGTGACATGAGACCTGCCTCTCTAGTCTTATTAAACCTGGGAAAAGATGACTGCATTGTGAGGAGAGTGGAGGATGCATACTCAGAAGCAGGAGTGTGTGCTGAGGTGGGCACTTGGGAGCTGCAACAGGTCATACCTCACCAGGATAGGACAGGAGAAGTGAATGCAACTCCTTGTTCCCAGGAAACTGTTCCCATGAAACTTCCCTGAGCATTATCAGAAAAGGTCTTCTGTTTTCTGTCTTGCTGCTGCTCATGTATTTTTAGGTCTTGAGGGAAAATCAAGCGCCATTAGCAGGGTAGCAAGGCCACGCTGCTCTTTGCCATTGACCTATCAGCTGCAATCAGCCCTGGTTCCTACCAATGCCCCTCATTTGCGAGGAAAATAAGTGGAACCAAATGGGTGGCTGTCTAATCATGTACAGAACCAGGTGGAACCTTCAGCAAATCATCTAACCTACTTGAGTCTCAACAGTCTCAACTCAAAATGAAAGAAATTGGACCACACACTTTCTCTATGTTCTTTGGCTGTTCTGAGGATAAATTAGGCCATGTCTGCAGAATATAAGTATATTAAAAGATGTTATTCTTGTGACCATCATTTATGTAATATATTTGGGGGGTTTGTCAGTATTATCAAAGGAATGAAAAAGCTGAATCGGGGTTTCATAATCGAGAACTAGAGTAGAACTGTAGGTGCTTAATGCTCTGTCCACTGACCAAATCACATTGACTTCCATGGGAGCAGTTGTACTACATTTCAATTTGTGTCATTTGGGGAAAATGAATTAATGGAAGAGATAAGATCAAAAGCTGTAGCCTGGAGAAGAGCTTCTGCTGAAAATCTTAAAATAAAGAAGACCTATCACTTTTACTCTGAGAGGAGAGAAAATTCTTTGTAAAGTTTTGGTGATGTATGTTTTTATTAGAATTGCCATTTTCAAGTCTTATTAAAGTTTGGTCATTTTGTAATTATTGCCAAAAGAAATGGACTATATAATTTGTTTTAGAGGTATGTCTTTGGTTTAAAACCAATATACATTCATGTAGAATTTGGAAAGAAATATATAAAAGTATAAATGAAGAACAAAAACTAACATTACCATTCAGAAATAATAGTTGAAAATGTTTACTTTCTTTCTATTCCTTTTATAATTATAAATTTGGGATTATACTTGCAACATCCACAATGTATCTTCTTAGGATATGTTAAATATTCAGATCCACAGACTACATTTGGTGCTGGTCCACTTGGAAGAAACCACAGCTTGCCGGCAGGGTAGCATTGCCTGCTTATCTTTAGCACATGTCCTTGCAGTGGTCCAGCAGAACAATACAGCTCAGGTGAATGGGGGCTACATACATTTCAGAGGATGCAGGAATTACCCTGGCTGAAAAGCCACATGCCCTGTAGGAGTCAATATATGGTGTAACAACTCCATAGGCATAGTTTCCGGGGATCCACAATAGATATGCCAAGTTACCAGAGTCACTGTTATTGGAAGTCATAGCAGAAGCACTCTCTCAGGTCATAACAGTTATCTGAGAACAGATGCAATTCACCAATAAGGGCTCAATTTTACCTGGTGACATAATTGATACATATTATCTTTTTCTAGGGGAAACAGGCAGAAAATTGTGAGGTCAGATTCTCTTACAGAAGAGAAAAAGATCTTACCCACAATACTGCATACAATTTTTTGGCCTTAAAAAATCCTAATATTAAATTACAAACATGTTCCATCATTACTTAAGGTGTTTCAAAAACATGGCTGGCACATAATGTATTAAACCAGTCTGGTATTGTGTATTTAGCTAGTTCCTAGTTTCTAATTATTAAAACTATTACTGACATGAACATCCCTATATACAAATCTTTGTATTTTTATAAATCTAGAAAATGTAATTAATGACTGGGTCTGAAGTTTATTAAGCTCTTAATACATCTTTAACAAACTGCTCTTCAGAAAGAAAATATTGGTTTATGCTTTGACTAGAATTACATGAAAGTCTCTACATTTTGTAAACATAGACTAAGTTCTTTGAAAACATTTGCCAATTTTATATGAGAAAAATGCTGTATCCTTTAAAAAATGATTTTTCTTTGGTTAGTGATGAATTTAGAAATACTTATATGCACACAGTCTATTGATTGCTGGTTGTTAGTTGTCTATTCTTGTCCTCTCTCATTTTGATTTTGGGAAGCTCATCTTTTTAAGTATTAAGGGTATTTACATTTGAGTCTCCTATGTGGCAAACTTTTTTGCAGTCTTTACTTCTGATGGAAATTTTTATTCTTAGGTAGGCAAATCTACCAGTTTGTTTTTATATGCTTGCATCAACACTGCTAAGTGAGTTATTGTTACTATTCAGAGTGCTTTTGTGGGTATTTATGTGGACTCACTTTCTAAGCGCTTTACATACATATTTTTCTTGTTTGTAATATGCACGGAAAAGTTTTTCATTTATGAAAAGGCCTTGAAACATTTTATATTGTTTGAGATTTCTTATTCCTCAAATGTTTGAGGAAAATTATTCCACAGCTGTGTGTCCTGAGTACTATTTTTTGAGAAATATTTTGGCATGTTTAAAATTTTATTCTGTTGGCATTCATATATTCAGCTTTGCTACATCTTTTAAAAAATTTGATATAAGGCATCACTAGTAAATATCTTCATAGAGTTTTCAATTTTATTGAGATGTAAGCATTTATTGGCACAGAATTGTATATACAACTTAAATAAGTCTTAAGTTTATATTTTCATTTTTAAGTATATGTTTTCTTAACTGTATTTGTATGTCTGACTTTCTATTATAGACTAGCCAGGCAGATGTACATTTAATTTATTAATTCTATTTTCTGACTAACTTTCTGCCACAATTTTTATTAATCCATTTCCTTCCCTTTTTTATATTTTTTTAAAATGTAAAACAATCTCTATAATTATAAAAAGTAACTAAAGGAGAACCTAGGCAACGATAAATGAAATTTCCTGAGACTGGGAAGAAGAGAGGAAATATGTCAGTAAGTCAATGGATCACTCAGGGATGCCTGTCTGAATACACAGGAAAGCGATATGCTTATGAGACAGGAAGAAACCAGGACCCAATTCTAGACTGAGCCCACAGCCTCCAGGTAGAGCCACCATGAAACCATACCAGACAGAACCGAGTCTGGCCTCCTAGTTTTACGTGGGGTGTGGAGTGTGTCACATTGTGAGGTACATGGAAAGGTGTCCTGTATGCTTTCTCTTATTCTGTAGGCTGGTAAGAGACATACAGAGATTACCCTTCCTCTGAGGAATGGGCATATCTCCCTTCACTCTAGAATTGGAGAGAAGAGGTCTTAATGAGGGTTCTCAGTGGAATTTCATTCCTTTCAGAAGTAGGAAGTTGGTCTGTGATTCCAAAGAGGGCAAAGAGCAGTTCCAGCCAGGTTTTTTGTTTCCCTGTTCCTGAACACTTCGTAAATGCCAGGCACTGCGCTAAGTCATTTCTAAGCCCCACAGCAACGCATGAGGTAAGCATTCAGTTGTCCTTATTTTGTATGGGAGGGAACAGTGAGGTGACTTGCCCAAAGTCAGGATGTGAATCCAGGTGTGTTAGGCAGCAAAGCTTGTTTCTTAGTCCTTCTGATACATCATGTTGTGGCTCATCAATGCTGATCTTAGTCCTTACAGCACAGTCCTATCATTTAAGGGAGAGCTTTGTAGAGCCTGGGGTCAATGAGCCAAATGAATTTATTATGCCCATATTATTTATCTTCAAAATTCTATTCCATTTCTCATCTGAAAGCAAGCAAAACATTGGCACAAAAAACTAATATTCGAACTGAATATCTAAGCAATTGCTATATTCCTCGGCATGCCAGTCAGTATTTTTATTACTGCCGAATAGAGGGCAGGTAGGGGAGGAGGGAGCGTTCAGGGAGTCAGCTGTTAGAAGAGAAGGAGGGGAATGGGAACTAAGATCACATCCTGACTAATCTGACCTTATGGCATATTTAGGCAGAAACACTTAATTTAAAACTCCCCCAAATATCATTTTAAAAAATAAAAATTAAAATGTCTAAGTGTTAAATCACTTGACCAGGTAACACAGATCTGCAAACTTTATGCTGTTAAGCAATCTCTGTAGAGGACTGTGTGGCCCATTTTTTGCCTCATGAAAGGGAAAATGAAATATATGAAGGTAAAGTTGCAACTTAATTTAATGTGATGTAATGTGAACAGAGCCAGAGCCATCAAGAATGAATCACAGCAAACTTCAGGTTAAGCAATTTCTCTCATCTCTGGTGTCTACGGAAGTTCAATGAGAACAGCAGGAAATATCGGCCTGAGGGATTCTATTCTACTCTAATCTCAGCCATTATATCAGTGCCAGCACTTACATTCAGAATCTCTTGTGAATACTTGCAACTCATAGCATATTTTTTCAAGAGGACAATAGCTGTTCTTAACACATTAGCCAATCATACCTGTTGATTTATAACATTCTCACATGCTTTTTAAAAAAAAACATCTTTTTAAAATTCAGATACCGAAAAACAAAAGCCACCCATACAAGACAAGACCTATGTTAATGAGTTTTTCTGCAGAGCTCCATTCACTCTGTTTTGGCTGAAATAGGATGCCACTGATAAAACTGCTGGTGAATGCTCAGGAAGAGAAGAAAGAGGAGAAAAAGCAGACAGAAAATATTCTTGGGTATCTGACAATAAAGAGGAAAGTCTATTTCTGTACTTACAATAGCAGTTGGGGTGGCAGCCAGCACACAATAGAGCACCAGAGGGGTGATGAAGCTTTCTTCCTCTGTCCCTGGGTAAGGCTTCATTAAGTCTCCGTCCTGACAGAAGAATCCTTGGATATGCACCTGAAAAGTGTCAGTGCATTCGAAGTAGTAGGCAAGCAGCACTGTCCCAGCCATGATGACAAGCTGAAAATACAGCATGGCCACACAGAGACATTAGCAGGGCTTCGGAGCAGCCCTTGCCCCTCAGAGCACACTCCCTCCATCACCCCAGCAGCGGCTCTCCTGATATTGGTATTGGCGAGTGTGTGCGTGCCAGGCGCAGCGTGCTCTGGGAGTGTGTGCTTGCTTGTCTGCCTTGTAACATCTGTTCTATAAACCTTCCAGCAAATAATGAGCAGCTCCCATCTGAAAGGCAGATCCCAGCCAGGCTTGTAGAGAGCTTCAGCCCCTGCTGCCACCCTTTCAGAGTCTCAGAGTATGCACGGGAACCAAGGCACTATAGCCATTTAGGACAGAGGTGAAAAGTCAAAAGGCAGTGGCAAAAGAGTTGTCAAGACATAGATGTGAGAACTGTTCATGAGCAATTTCATATAATATTACAGGTAGACTTACCTTATGAAATATGAAAGGTAGGTAAACCACGAGTAAACGAAGGAATGGACAAATGAAGAAATTAACAGGAAAGCTAAATCCTAGATGGGTTAAGGGAAATTTCGACACCCTAAGTTATTGGCAGGTATTCTACATCAGTCATAACTTTTATCTTTTTCCAAAATGGTTTCTGCCAGTAAGTCAAGGACTTTGCTGATGATCGTATCTTATTATAGAAATATAGCCTTCGTAAGATTTAGACAGACATAAAAAAAAAAAGACACAGTTATCCTTTTGTTTTGACTCAGATGTCCTAGATACTCACCGAAGTTTAGATATAGTTTTTAGCAGGTATGTGGAACTGAGGGGATATGGAAATGTAACATGTTTTTCCATTCATATTTGGAAATCACCAATGCCAAGATAAGATGGTGAATAAAGGTAGATAGAAAATACATTTGAGGTCATGAAATTACAGAAACTTAAGCTGGGGGATATCTTAGAGTTCTTCCTGTCTGACACCTTTATTTCATAGATGAGGAAAGTGGAACTGACCACTGCCTGATTATCCAAAAATTAAACTAAACATGTGCTTAGATTGAGCATTAACAAAACAGGCAAACTAAAATGAAGAAAATATATTTTTAAATGTTGATTTGTTTAAAGGTATCAAAGTTATGAAAAAAAATCAGAACTTGGTAGGACATCTTTAGATATCTATGGCTTAAAGTTGTTTGTATTTTGAAGTACATATAAGGCAGTAAAGGGAAATCATAATCTTTTCAGGGCTTAAGAAGACTAAAGTTCTTATTTCAGCCCCAGAATGACTAATCCAAGGCCACACAGCTGGTTAGTGTGAAAGCCAGGACTAGAAACCCACATTTCCTGATCTGTAGGAAAAAAGCAAAAGCTGAGCTGTATCAGGATCTAAAACTGCATCTTATACGAAAAGGTAGAGAGTGATGGGGGAGGCAAAGTAGCTAAACTCTAGCACAGAGAGGCAATTTTTGGCATCCTCATCCATTTTCCTATCCATTGCTTTAGCCACAGCATTGAAGCACAGCCTTTACCCTCTGCCCCACTATAAACCATTCTCTGGAACCAGCACAGCCTCTACTTCTGGGATAGTAATTCTGCAACTCTTCCATACAGTAGCAGATTAGCATCATTTTCTTTTTTCTTTTTTTTTTTCACATCAAAGATTTTATTTTTTTTATGTATATTTTTATTTTACTTTAGGGTACATGTGCACAATGTGCAGGTTTGTTACATATATATACATGTGCCATGTTGGTGTGCTGCACTCATTAATTCATCATTTACATTAGGTATATCTCCTAATGCTATCTCTCCCCCCTCCCCTACCCACAACAGGCCCCGGTGTGTGATGTTCCCCTTCCTGTGTCCAAGTGTTCTCATTGTTCAATTCTCACCTATGAGTGAGAACATGTGGTGTTTGGTTTTTCGTCCTGGCGATAGTTTGCTGAGAATGATGGTTTCCAGCTTCATCCATGTCCCTACAAAGGACATGAACTCATCATTTTTTATGGCTGCATAGAGACTCTGTCTCCAAAACAAAACAAAACCAGACAGAAGTTTGTACTTGAGACACATTATAACAGAGATACCAAAGAGGAAAGGCATCAAAAGAGGAGAAATTGGAAGGACAGGGAAGATTCTTAATTCAAATGATCCACCCACCTCGGCCTTCCAAAGTGCTAGGATTATACAGGCATGAGCCACTGCACCCAGCTTCAAGTACAAATTTCTAACCATCTTATCTAAAGGTGTTTACCTTTTAGCTACATCCATTGCTACCTTTCCTTTTATTCCAATTAGGCCACAAACCATCTCTTCATTCACTAGCCCTTACACATGACTTGTTTCTGACTGTTTATGGATTACATTCTTCTAGTATCTAGCGTTTTCTGCTCCCAGAGATGTGGATCTCCAATCACAACTTTGGACTGTCCAGTAATCTCTGGACACTTCCATGTGTTTTTCCATGCTTGGAGTTGTTTATTGGGGCCACATGTAAATCACCAACCTTTATGCCAGCCTTCTCTGCTGTTTGAAGTAATTGGTTTATTTATTTTCCTTATAGCAACAGAGAAGAGACTTGGATAAATATGTTTCCTGAAAGATTGAGAGAGATACTCCAAAGCTACCCCTACTAATAGGTGCTCCTGATTGCAGCTAGTTTATAAAATCAAAGCTATGAAGTTACTGTTTCTTTTATGCTTGACTTGTTAAGTGAGTTGACCTGATGGCAAGGAACATAGCCAGTTGACTTGATGTTTTGAAGATGAAATAACACCAGGCTTCCAACAGTTTTAAGGCTCTGTCTCTGGAGTTCCGTCTGTCCCCCTGCAAAGGGCTGATCTGGGATTTTTGTGTGTGTCATGTGTCTCATCCATGTGGCTGGAAACAATTTTGTCTCTCTTGGCTTCATCAGCTCTTGGGAGATACCTGAATGGGAATAGGCAAGATCTATGGGGGCTTCTGGATAAAAAAATAAAAATCAAAATGACATCTAGCTTCCTCTTTCGTAGGAAGAGGATTGTATTTTATGGGTATCTTTGTGCTACCACTTCCTTTTTCTAAAAAAAAGTGAAAATGAGGTAAATGAAAGCAAAAACTTATACATAGGAAAAGAACTCAAGACAAACACAAGGAATGGAAGCTCTTAAAACAGAACTATCTTAACACCAAATACACTGAAATAAATGAAGATCTAACAACAAAGAAAGCATTACATGCCTAAATTTGAGATCTATAGAACAAATCTTGAATAGTTGCCTAGCTGATTTAATCCCGGAAGCAGCATTCAGAGAGAACTGGATAAATTAAAAGTTTATAAAAATTTGCAGGACATAAAGAACAGAGAACCTTGGAGACCCAAAGGGTGGTAGTGGTAGGTGGGAGCTTCAGCAGCTTATGTGACAGAACTGACCACCCACCACGAGCATGAATTGGCTTGCCTTGGCTCTTCCCCCGAGCAGCCAGAAGCCAGAAACTCTTCCTTGTAATTTTCTTTTTCTTTATTTCTTTCTTTCTTTCTTTCTTTTTTTTTTTGGAGACAGGGTCTCATTCTGTCTTCCAGGCTGGAGTGCAGTGGCAGGATCTCGGCTCACTGCAACCTCCGCTTTCCCGGTAGCTGGGATTACAGGTGCATGCCATCACGCCTGGCTAATTTTTTGTATTTTTAGTAGAGACAAGGTTTCATCATGTTGACCAGGCTGGTCTCAAACTCTTGACCTCGAGTGATCCATCCATCTCAGCCTCCCAAAGTGTTGGGATTACAGGCGTGAGCCACCGCGCCCGGCCTTCCCTGTCATTTTCAAGCAATCCTCAAACTCCCTGGGAAGTCCCCCAATAATGCTATTTAGAGATGCACAGAAGCAGAAATAGAACAACTCAGATTTTGATTTCTAGTTGATTTTCTATTGAACATTCTCCTGTGACCTTTTTTTTTTGAGGCGGTGTCTCGCACTGTCGCCCAGGCTGGTGTGCAATGGCACAATCTCGGCTCACTGCAACCTCTGCCTCCCAGGTTCACACAATTCTCCTGCCTCAGCCTCCTGAGTAGCTGGGATTACAGGCGCACACCACCGCACCCAGCTAATTTTTTGTATTTTTAGTAGAGACGGGGTTTCACTATGTTGGCCAGGCTGGCCTCGAACTTCTGACCTCGTGATCCGCCTGCCTCAGCCTCCCAAAGTGCTGGGATTACAGGCTTGAGCCACCGTACCCGGCCTCCTGTGACCATATTTTTAAAGGAAACTGATGCACATACTGCAGGAACAGAAACAACACACATTGATTCTGTCTCCATGAGCAGAGAGATCCATCTCACTGCACTGATGATGCCACACAATTAGCCATCAGCATACTCCTTTCTTCCTCCCTGTCCTGAGATATGATTTATCACTGTCTATGTTTATGTCACTGGTGCCAGCTGGCACACTTGCTATCTCTGTTGCCTTCCTCAGCTCCATTTAGGAATGCATGGAGGGAGGCCATAATGTTGGTGTCACATGAGCAGATGGTGAGGCCATGCTGGGTGCAAGTACTGGTGGAAGGGTTGAAGATGTCAGTGTGAAAGAAGCAATTATGGCTGTGGGAGTATAACAAGGTGTAAGGAGCTCATGTACCAGGGACTTTCCTCAGCTGTTGCTTTCCAAGAATGACAATCCAATATAGCAGTAAAAAATGCATTAAGTGCTGATCATTCCACGAGGCTTCAGAAGGCAGAATCCAGCAATATCTGAAATTCAGCTTCCTGTGGTTAAAAGCACTGTGTTTCTACCAAGGCCCTTTGCTGGTTAAAGAAAAGTAAAAATGTCAAGAAGAGCAATAATTGTGAAGGTCACAAAGCTGAGAGAAGAGGATGAGAACCTTTTCCAACAGGCTGTTAAGTCTGGAGGAACTGTGGACCAATAATTTATATGTCCTGATACAAGCTGGGGAAACAGGGAATCAGATAATGATGGTGTGACTCATGTAAGCCTGTGTGTCCAGGGCAGTAGGACAGAGGCAAGAGTTTGGAATGAGAGTATACATGAAGCATCTTGTCTGAAGTGTAAAGGGCATCCTAGTGCTAGGTGATCAACAATCCAGTTTGTTCAGGGCTGAGGGGCTTCCTGGGGCACAGGACTTTCAGGGCTAAAACTAGGATGGCCCTGAGCAATCTGGGGTGACTAAACACAAACAATGAACCAAGCACAGACAAACCAGAGACAATATATCTGTCCCCAAAGAAGTTTCTCATTCTGGTTCGGCCATGAGCTATCAAAGCTAGTCAATCAGCAACTCTTCTTGTGAGCTGCCTCTGAACTCAGTCTAAGTGCTGTGAAGGTGAGGAATTCTCAGACATGCTCTCCAACCCCATGTAATTTGTAATCTACCTGGGGCATGCCCACCAACACAAGGAACAACAAGTCTTCTGTAGGAGGTTGTCTGCTGATCCCCAGTGGGAGTTATGCGTGGCTGCAGGTGCCTGGTGAACTGGTTGGGAGGGGACTTGATAGAAGGAGAACAATGGAAGGGGGGATATTGCATGAGGGAGAAGAGGATGCATGGGGAAGGAGAGGGCTGTGTGGTGTCTGCTTAGGGTATTGGTTTTGGCCCAGCTCCATCAATATAGATATTCAATTCCATAAAGCGAGGGGATAAAGGAAATGTTGGGCAGAGGGAGTATGACATCAGAGCTTAGGTGGTAAGAACTGACACGGTTGTGACATGAAAGCAATGTCTTAGCCAGGACACCAGGGAATAGCACACTTTAAGGATTTGGATGTTTTTTGGTATTGGGAAAAAGCATCCTAGTCACAAATGTCAATAGTTGCACACAAGGGCTGGGGTGGGAAACCCTCAAGTAGCATTCACAGAACTGGAAACCAATGTAGTAGGCTAGAGGGGAAGCACATAAATTGACAGCCCCCATGAGACCTCACTGGGGAGCCTTAGAAATAAGTTTGACCCCCTGAGAGGGGATGGAGGTCCTCCATATACAACAGACACAAGAGCCAAGGAGGTGGAGGAAGGAGAGAGAAGGAAGAAGAGAGGGAGGAAGAAAAGGAGAAGGAGACAGAGATGATAATGTTATATTGTGCATGTCCCAGGAACTGTTTTAAACACCTTACGTAAATTAACTCTTCATCTGCCCAACCATGGTGGGTGGTAAGTACATTATTATTTCCATTTTACATTTGAGGAAACAGGCACAGACAGATTGCATGAGGTCACAGAGCTCACAGGAGTAAACCTTGGATGATTACTATAAATATCTCTCTCCACTCAAATTTGTGTGGCCTAGGGGAAAGTCAGGTTACAAATATAAGTCAGCAGAATATTAAGAACTAAACTATGTTACATACTTGGACACTTTAAATGTTTCCAAGTGTCAGTTTTCTCATCTATATGAAGGTTAATAATCGTCTCACAAAAATGCAGTGAGGTGTGTTTATGTATTCCTATTTTGTTCCAAAAATCAGCTTTCATCAAATAAAGTAAGCTAGCATCAGCAAGAAGTTGGAATGGAAGCAGGAAGGAAATAAATATGGTGATATAAAATAGAGGCAGGAATTACATGCTTCATTCTAAATTGTCTAACAGTCAATGCAATAAGGAAATGGTGGTCAATATCTATAAGATCAAAAGCAAACCAATGGTTAAAGGATAAGCAGAATACTTCTGGTATAGTGACCAGACAGGAGTTCTTCCTTTGGGTTCTTGTAAACAACGTAACAGGATAAACAATGATTCAGTGGTGAGTATCATGGTGCTGTTATTTTTTTAAAATTTTTCTTTTTTTAAATTATACTTTAAGTTCTGGGATACATGTGCAGAATGTCCGGGTTTGTTACATAGGTATACATGTGCCGTGGTGGTTTGCTGAACCCATCAACCTGTCATGTACATTAGGTATTTCTCCTAATGCTATCCCTCCCCCAGGCCCCTACCCACTGACAGGCCCTGGTGTGCGATGTTCCACTCCCTGTGTCCAGGTGTTCTCATTTTTCAACTCCCACTTATGAGTGAGAATATGCATTGTTTGGTTTTCTGTTCTTGTGTTAGTTTGCTGAGAATGATGGTTTCCTGCTTCATCCATGTCCTTGCAAAGGACATGAACTCATCCCTTTTTATGGCTGCATAGTATTTCATGGTATATATGTGCCACAATTTCTTTATCCAGTCTATCATTGATGGGCATTTGGGTTGGTTCCAAGTCTTTGCTATTGTGAACAGTGCTGCAATAAACATACATGGGCATGTATCTTTATAGTAGAATGATTTATAATCCTTTGGGTATATACCCAGTAATGGGATTGCTGGCTCAAATGGTATTTCTGGTTCTAGATCCTTGAGGAATCACCACACTGTCTTCCACAATGGTTGAACTAATTTATACTCCCACCAACAGTGTAAAAGCATTCCTATTTCTCCACATCTTCTCCAGTATCTATTGTTTCCTGATGATACTGTTCTTAATATGAGACCTCATATCAACTTAATATAGGTTTCATATAAGCAAAACTCACAAAAACAAGACTCTGAAATAGAATGGAAGAGGTAGGCATTATGATTCAGCTGCAGTTGAACTTGAGAGAGACAGCATAATGAAAGGTTAAGAGTACAGGACAGATTGCCTAGGTTGGAAACCAGCTGTGCTGCCTACTAGGTGTGTGGTCTAAATTTTCGTGCCTTCATTTGAAAAACTGGGTTAATAATACTATAGTACCTAATGCTTCAGATTATCATGAAGATTAAATGAGACTGTGTAACAAGTACTTAGAGCAGTGTCTGACTCAACAAAAATAGTTTCCTAGAAGAGTAGATAGACTGTGTATCTTTCAAGACTCCTTCCTTGGTATAGTTTTTCTCAGTTTAGTTTCTAAAAACTAATGGGCAGCAGTGAATTAGAGACTATTTTTCTAGTAAGTCTCCAGTTAGTTAAATACAGAGCTATATCTTTTTTTTTTTAACTTTTAAGTTCAGGGGTATATGTGCAGGATGTACGGGTTTGTTACATAGGTAAATGTGTGTCATGGGGGTTTGTTGTACAGATTATTTCATCACGTAGGTATAAAGTCTAGTATCCATTATTTTTCCTGATCCTCTGCCCTCCAGTAGGTTCTAGTGTGCATTGTTCCCCTCTATGTGTCGATGTGTTATCATTTAGGTCTCACTTATAAGTCAGAACATGCAGTATTTGGTTTTCTGTGTCTGTGTTAGTTTGCTAAGGATAATGGCCTCCAGCTCTATCCATGTTCCGGCGAAGGACATGATCTCATTCTTTTTTATGGATGCATACTATTCCATGGTGTATGTGTTCCACAGTTTATTTATCCAGTCTATCATTGTTGAGCATTTAGGTTGATTCCATGACAGACCTATATCTTTTAATTAAAGCAATTAAAGTGTGGTTAAGAAGGACATCCTCTTGTGAAAACTGAGGGACTTCAAATGTACCAGTGTGTATATGAGAATTCATCCCCTCTTCTTTAAGGACTAAAGAGGTGCCCACAGGCAAGGATATGTAGACGAAATGTGATCATCCAGTCATTCAACTAATATTGAGTGTCTACTATACACAGACATCAATAATACTTAGTTAAAAAAACTGAGCAACAAAAATGTTAAAATAGCCATGGTCTTTGGACTCATGGGGTTTTCTGTCAGGGAAGACAGATATTATAAAAGTAAGTCCAAAGAAATAATAATAATGACTCTTACTGATTGCCCATGTAATCAGCTATGTAACTTTAAATATATTATCTTACATGATACTTAACACTACTCTGTGAGGTATAATGAGTTACCTCAATCTGAACCTCTGGAGCCATTTAACTGTTCTTTTTACACTGAAAACCTGCAATTAACACAATGACATGATGTATATAAAAAGCTTAGTACAATGCCTGGCACTTGATAAGTACTCAGCTCTTTTTCTTGCTTTTAAATTTCTATTTGCTCTTCCTTTTCAGTGCTTTTTTACTTTGGGGTGATAGTAGAGGTTGACTGAGGTCTCCTCTTCCTCCATTCTTCTTTCTTAACTATCTGAAAACATTGTTGCTTTAATTTTCCCTTTTCTTCAGCCTGGTCTATAAATGGTGGTACCCACCCAGGATCTATCTTTAACCCCTTTGTCATTTTCTTTCTATGTTCTCTTCTAGGGAGATCTCATCTCTTTTCGTGGCTTCCATTCTTATATTGATTCCATTGACTCTCCTATCATCATTTGTAGCTCTGGGTTTTCTCCTGACCACCAACTTGATGTGTTCCATAGGTACTCCAAATGCCACAAGTCTAAACTGGAACTCATTATTTCTCCTCTCCCCAGGCTGCAGCTTCTCTTGAGTTCCCTATCCTGGTAAATCCAACGACCATTCTCTCAGTTACACAGGCTAGAAATCTCAGTGTCATCTTAGACTCCTCCTTCCCCTAGCTTTCTCTTCACGCCATACCTGGTCAGTTGCCAAAGTCTTACTGAAGGGTCTCCTTACATTTATCTCATTTATGCAAACTGCCACTGCCACCTTCAGGCTTCCACATTCTCTCACCTGCACTTTTGAAATCTTGTCCAACCTGCTTTTGCTGCCTTTGGGATCTCAACCTCTCCGTGCCATCATTTACCCTGCTGCTAAAGAGTTAACCATCCTAAGGTATAGCTATGATTATATCTGTATACTCCTCCAAAATCTTCAGTGATTACTTTGTATGGGCTGAATTTTTGTGTTCTCCCCAAATTCATATTTCAAAGCCTAAATCCCCAATGTGATGGTATTTGGAGGTGGGGTCCCAGTCTCATGAATAGGATTAGTGTTCTTAGGAGACATGAGAGAGCTGATCTCTCTCTCCTGGCCTCAGTGAGGTTATAGCAAGGAGGCAGTATGAAACTAAAATGAATCTTGGGACCCCAAAATCACTAAGCCAAAGGGAAAAGTCAAGCTGGGAACTTCTTAGGGAAAACCTGTCTCTCATTCCATTTCTAAAAAACGATTAAAAAGCTCCATGCCTCCCTCACAAGGAATTGCCTTGTGGACAAAGGACAGACAGAACTCAAAGTCATCCCCCTGCTGACTGAGATAAATGCATATCCGATTGCTTCCTCTGGAAAGGCTAACCAGAAACTCAAAAGAATGCAACCATTTGTCTCTTATCTACCTGTGACCTGGAAGCCCCCTCCCTGCTTCAAGTTGTCCCGCCTTTCTGGACTGAACCAATGTACAACTTACATATATTAATTGATGTCTCATGTCTTCTAAAATGTATAAAACCAAGCTGTGTCCTGACCACCTAGGGCACATGTCATCAGGACCTCCTCAGGCTATATCATAGGCATGTCTCTTTAACCTTGGATAAACTTTCTAAATTCAGACCTGTCTTAGATGTATGGGGTTCACAGTAGCTACCTGCAAACCAGCAAGAGGGCCCTCACTAGACAGTGAATCTGCTGGCTCTTTGATCTTGGCTTCCCAGTTTTCAAAACAGCAAGCTATATGGTTGTTTATGCTTCCTAGTCTATTACAATTTGCTATTGCAGCCCAGATTAAGACACAGCTATTCTAGGTAAATCCAGCAATTTTCTCTGCATTGAACACACTGGCCTTTGTCCTGCCCATATTTTTTGGTAATGGATAGAAGCAGCCTACCATTCGAATAGAGTCCAAGCCAGCAAATCCCATCAGGCATGGCCTCTTAGTTAGCGGAGAATACATAGGTCTACCTCTCTTCTTGGGCTGCCTTCACCTTCTTACTTGGCCACTCCTTGAAGAATAAATACAAATACTACATCCTTGTCTTCATTTAGTACTTCCTTCCTCCAGTGTCTCAGTGGTTGTTTATAGGTGGATGATATGGAGAAATGTAGAGCATATAATAATATTACTAAGTAGATTTACAACTACATCAAGGAAGGGATAAATATTTGGTATAACTTAAACTAAATTGGGCTACAAAATTTTCTCTTTGATCTTTTGCTGCTAGGGATTTTTTAATTCAATGACATGGATGAATACATAGAAGAATGTTAAACGTATAGTGATACAAAACTGGCAGGCATAGCTAATATCAGAGAAAGCAAGATTAAAAATTCAAAATGATTCTGACATTTGGGATAAATATAAAATCCTACAGCAAGTTTCTGATAGTCAATAATTGCAAGGATCAGTAGAGCAAAAGGCATAGAACTCGAGCCTGAGAGGCTCAAGAGCTCTGGTCTTTCCCAGGGCTGCCTCAAAGAAGGGAAAGGGCAGAGCTGAATACACATGCTATGCATGAGAAAGTGACAGTGGTGAGAGGACGAGCCAAGAGAATTCTGTGAATAGAAGGTCATGGATGACTTGTGCATTTTACTTATTTATTCACTTGTTTAAGGGAGGGACAGGGGATAGATGCAATCCATCAAGGATCTCTATGGTCTAAAATTTTATAGTTCCGCTATATCTTTCGTTAAACTAAACTGATTTTGGTGCTAACTTGAGGTCTCTCTGGTAAAACAATAGAAGTCAGCAAACTCCTGCTACACACCAATCATGTGCCAAGCCCCTCAGAGGGATGAGAGAAATATAAAGATGAAGTTCTTAGCTTTTCAAGGATATGATGATGTGACCATATTATCAGTGTTATAACACAATTGGTTATACCTTAACAGATGGATAGATGAGTGGCTGAGAAAGATGGAAGGAAGGATGGACAGACACCACAATGACATCAAGAAGTGAATATTAACTCTGAGAGAGAAGTATGTGGCAGCAGTGACATTTGAGCTGGCTGTCATGGTGTAATAGAAATGTATGGCCTTCGGAATTTTAAGACCTGGATGCAGTACTAGATTGACCATTAACTACTTGTGCAGCTTTAGGCATTGTACAAAAATGAGTACTGAACTGGCTTTGGGAAGACTGGTTTAACTTTCTGCCTAACGTGTGGCTTTTAGCCTTTCCCTTGTTCTAACAGTCATTTTGAGTCTTAAACCTAGACAGAAGAGTAAAGAAAACTTTTATAATTAATTTTGTTGGCCTGTTCATGCTATAATAATATCCACATTAAAACCCTAATGTATGATGTTGTAAGTCCAAAATAAAGATAACTTACTTAAGGATTTAAAAATAGATTAATCCACTTAATCTAAAAAAAAATAGGATTTTAGCCCAACAAAAGAAGTTTGCCTAATCATTATGGATGGGCTATGGTGGGATTAAGTTGTATGGGGTTTTGTGATATATTTGATGCTGTACTTTTCATTATTTGAGGATGGGAGCATGTAATGTGTTTTCTATCACCAGAATATTCTAGTACAGAACACTAGTTGTCGAATTATAAAGAAGAACCCAGAAGTGGATGGACATTGGCTTAGATGAACACTAAAGCTCCTGAAATTGCTCGGAAGTCTTCACAGCATAATGTGATGGCTCCCTCCTGTGCTCACCTGCCAGGAACTGTGCCCTTCTGGCATGAGGTGTGACTATCCCAATCCCTCTAAACCAAGATGTGAGGCCCTAAGGGAAAGGATCCTTCAAATCTGTAACCCCAGTTTAGCACAGGCACATAATAATAAAATATTGGTTGAATAAGTGGGTGAGAGTCTATAGTTTGTGATATGATATGAAACTGTTTGGGACATATTATTACATTGGTTAAAACTAAACTATTGGTTTCATATAAATGTGTTCTGAGTGGTGTTCTCCAATATACAAGATAGTAATAAGTGCTCTGGGAAAGAAGAGGGAGTGTGGGGACATGAGACAGAGAGATAAGTATCTGGGGCCAGGAGAAGTTTGTGAAATCTTGGGTTAAACTCAATTTGACAGATTTTGTTACTGGAAGATTCTCAGGGCCTACTGGTATTGTGGAATTCCCAGAAATGCATTTTGGCATACAGTCATTTAAACTCATTTGAACACAGAGCTTCCCCCACTTTCTACCCATGGCGCACTAAATTATCAATATAAAGAATATTCATGAAACTGAATTTGGGAAATGCAGACAGTTTCTGAACTGGAAAGAAGAAGGGAGGGAGAGAAAAAGTATGACTGTTTATTTGTCTTGGGGGTGTTAGAAGCAACCTGTTTACAGGCATCAAATTTAATAAAAGCCTTTTGTATTGCTACAATCTTTATTTCTATCAGGATAAATATACTATCTGTTCTTGATCATTGAACCATTGACCTCAATTGTGGTTACAAAATAGGAACATTTTGCTTGGACCATTTTGAGGAACTCAGAGACAAATGCCATCTCATAGTTCAGGCATAGGGACCCCCACATCAGGTTCTTTGCTACACTATTCACTATTATGCATATGTCATAGCAAGCTAAGAAAGGAGAATGAAAGAATGTGGCAAACAATAATAGCAGCAACAACATACTTTACAATGAGCACCACCCCTGGAATTTCTGCGATTACGGAGATCCCTTTTGGATCTCTGGGTTGCTTTGGAGCAATTCTGGTGAAGCCGTCAGCAGTGGCTGTCTGCTTACCCCCTGAACCCTCGAAAAATATGGCTTGGAGCTCCTCAACTCCTCACAAGATAGTTCTTCTTCAATGCAGTCAGGCTCAGCATCACTATCACCATCTATATCTCTAAAAGACTTACGTATATTTCTTCAAGGCTTATCTGGGTGTAGTTTTATGTGATCACACCATTCTATGAACGTGTAAGCAAACACCTACCTAATATTTTAAAAATTAAACTCTTGAGTTTCTATCAATTATTATGTAAAACACATATATCCTGTTTTAAAGCTTATAAGCTATATGCAGAAAGTTTCAAAAGAGAGGATGCAGTTCAAACAGTTGGGTTAAAGGATAATAATACAAGAGTTGCTGCTGTTGTTGTTTTTTAAGGAAGCACAGGGAGGAGCAGGAGCGGAAACTAAGAGGAGCAGCAGCAAATGTGTATGGCCAGAGAAATGGGTTAGCAATGGAACACTGGACTTGGCTCCACCACTGCTGTAAGGTCATCTCAAGTTCTTTTATCTTTGGACAACTTTCTCAAAGGAGACAAGATGAAATTCCCAAGACACTAGGATGCTTTGTGAAGTTATAAGGAGTTATTATTTTACCTCTCCTAGCTCGTGAAGTTCAGACCCTTTAATCATTCACATAGATGCACTATTGGGGAAAATTGTTTTGCTTTGCAAAGGCACATCTAAATATTTGCAAATGTAGCAATGATAAGCACATTCCATATTGTATTGCCACTACTCAGTTGCATGTTGTTTTCTTGCCCCTAAACTGCAAGCTCCTCAGGAACTCATCTTTGAATCCCAGGCAGCAAGAATGAAACCTGGTGTTTGATAAACACATTTGGAGTAAGATGCATTTCTTAAATAAGATCCCTAAAGCAAAGGCCAAAGCAAAAAAATGGAAATAATTACATCAAACTTCAAGGCATTCTGTTCAGTAAACTAACTCTTCAATAAAGTTAACAAAAGGGTTAACTCTTGCAGAGTGGGAGAAATTATTTGCAATCTTCGAAACACAGATGTAGTTAACATCATATATATAAAACAAACTCCTGTAAATCCAGAAGGGAAAGACAGGAAATCAAATATTTACATGGGCAAAGTTATGAATAAGCAATTTCTAGAGGGAACAATCCAATAGTGTCCTGGAGCTGTGTTGTGCCATCTTATGAGAGCCTATTATGAAATTTCATGAGCTAGTTGCTAAAGGGTAGCTTGAAATTGGTCATGCTGCAGTATTTATACCATGGAAATTGACAAACTGCACAACAAATCAAACTCCCTTCTCTTTCATCATCCCCTATAGCCAGGAGTTAAACATTTACCAGCCAAATGCTAGAGAAATCCAAATGACTAACTTTCATATACATGAGCTCACTAATGGAGAAATGCAAATCAAAACAATAGTGACATGCTATTTTTATGTCTAATCAAATTAGCAAAAATTTGAAGGTTAGATAATAAGTGTTGATGAGAATATAGGCAAATGGAAACACCATGCACAGCCAAGAGATTTTAAGTTGGCACAGACATTTTGGAGTACAACCTGGCACTGCCTGGAGAAGGGGAGTGTGCATATGCCCTATAACCCAGTAGTCACACTCGTTGGTATACATCCCACAGGTTTGTGCAAGGAAAGACATAAGGTTGTCAATACAGTGTCATTTTTGGTTAAAAAGTTGGAGGGAACAGGAAAATAAGTAAAATGAGGTACTGCCTATGATGGAATATTACATAATTGTTAAAAAATAATGTATTGGATTTTCATAAACACATAAGTGGCTCTTATATGTCTAATACTTTTCTAAGCCTCAGTTCTTTACACACATTCATTCAGTCCTTATATTTTTACAAAGTGGATATTAGCAACTATTGGATTGGAGAGTTTAAGTTATTAGCATAAGGTCACACAGCATGGAAGAGCCAGCATTCACCCTATGTAGTATAATCTAGATCAGGGATTCACAACCCCCCTGGTCTGTGGCCTGATAGGAACTGGGCAGGAGGTGAGTGGCAGGCAAGTGAGCAAAGCTTCTTCTGTATTTACAGCTGCTCCCCATTGCTCACACTACCACCTGAGCTCTGCCTCCTGTCAAATCAGCGGTGACATGAGATTCTCATAGGAGCATGAACCCTATTGTGAACTGCACAAGTGTGAGATCTAGGTTTCATGTTCCTTATGAGAATCTAATGCCTGATAATCTGTCACTGTTTCCTATCACCCCTAGATGGACTGTCTAGTTGCAGGAAAACAAGCTAAGAGCTCCCACTGATTCTACGTATGGTGAGTTGTATAATTATTTCATTATATGTTATATTTTAATAATAATAGAAATAAAATATACAATAAATGTAATGTGCTTGAATCATCCTAAAACCATCCCTATCCCCTGGTCCATGGAAAAACTGTCTTCCACAAAATTGGTCTCTGGTGCCAAAAATGTTGGGGACTGCTGGTCTAGATTTTCTACTCTTAATCATTATGTTCTACTGACTAAAAAGCTTAAAAACAAAGCTTAAAACCATTAAGTGAAAAACAGAAAAGAAGCAGAGAAAGACCCGTAGTACAATGATTTTTATCTAAGTTAAAAACATGTACTAAAAACACTACATACTTTTCAGGGTATATACATATTTAAGGGCATATAATAAATACATTAGAGTCAGGATAGGGAATGGTGAGGACAAATCATCAAATGACTGAACCACATACTGGGCAGTATAATTAATTCAATTTGGTAGACGCAAAGACCAAATAGAGCCCATGAATGAATATTTAGCATCCTATAGACTTAGAAGGTTTTACGTTGAATAAAAGGTGGCATTTGATAATAGACCCAAAATACTGCCTTTCTCAATTTATGGTTGTAATAAATCTGACTTGTTGAAAAAGAAACAGAATGAGTAGAAAATAAGAATCATGCTGCATGCTAATGCATTTTTTTTTTTATTTTTGGAGACAAAGTCTCACTCAGTCAACCAGGCTGGAGTCCAGGGGCATGATCTTGGCTCACTGCAGCCTCCTGGGTTCAAGCAATTCTCGTGCCTCAGCCTCCCAAGTAGCTGTAATTACAGGTGTACGCCATCACACCCAGCTCATTTTGTATTTTTAGTAGAGATGGGGTTTCACCATGTTGGCCAGGTTGGTCTTGAACTCCTAACCTCAAATGATCCGCCTGCCTCGGCCTCCCAAAGTGCTGGGATTACAGGCATGAACCACCATGCCTGGCCACTAATGCATTCTTCGTCTTTTATCAAATTAAAAAAAAAAGACACCTGATTGCTGTTGACTCTTGTACAAAAGTCCACAACCATGAAATGCTGTGGAACCCTCCACTGTAATTCATCACAGCTATCAGTGTAATAATTTTGCTCTAAAAAATGAGGAATATTTTCATGAACCTACTGTTTCATAGTTTTCAAAGGAGATCAGAGATATAATAAAGTTCTATTTAAATATTAAAATCACACTTATCTCAAATCTTTTTAAAAGAGTTTTGGTTATAATAAGAATTATTTTCTCATCATGAGTTTTTAAATTAGGGACTTAGGTAATGAAAAATGATTTTATGACTCCACATTAGAATGAAAAATGATTTTATGACTCCATATTAGAATGAAAACATAAAACGAACATCGAGTTTTCATCATGCCACATGGAACAAATCAATTAAAAAAAAAACTTAGGAAACATGGTAAGCATTTCCTACATTTGCTTTCAAACAGTTTTAAACAGAAGTACTTATGGTACCGTTTTAATTTCCTTGCCAGAAAGGAACATGATTCTTCTTTCTCCATGAGCATGGCCAAGTTACTTCGGAATTAGGCAAATAAGATGAAAAGGAAAAACATTCTCTCAGGTCAAGCAGTTTGTTTTTCTAATTAAAACAGGTAAATCTCAATGTTGCAAAGAGACTCAGATGTTCTCATTTTCCTTTAAAAATTAATGGATAAGGATTTTTCTTATTTCCCTTTGAAATTACTCAATAGGTTGCCACTAAGATAATGTCTTTCCCAAACACATTTAAGGATCCTGCATAAATGAACAGATTGGGACTTCGGTCAAACTCCTTGTGGCTGTCAGATCACAAGTGTTCAGACCTGCACCTGCTTCCCTCTGGCTGCATCTAAATGAAGCCAATTATACTAGAGAAAGTAATCAGGTGAACACCTAGTTCATCTAGCTTGACAGGTGTTTCACATTGTGGGAGTAACACTGTGCATTTATGGAAATGTTCTATACCTGTGCAATCAATGTGGCAGGCACTAGCTATAGGTGGCTCTTGAGCACTTGAAATGTGGCTAGTGCAGCTGATGGATGGAATTTTTTTATTTCACTTTTAAATTTAAGTGGCCATACATAGCTACTGGCTCCATATTGGATGGCATATGATGGCATTGCATTAGCAGGGTGATACCATGAACGAAGTGTAAGTTTAAACCTTTTCTATAGAATATTGTAATATATAAATATGTAAATTGGAAAACATATCATCAGGATTTTTTATTCACTAAAGGTTAATTATTACTAATACTTGGTGTATATTTATCCTTCCAGACTTTTTCCTCCTCAGGCATATAAACACACTCAATCATAGGTAGATTTAAAAATATGTAAAATTAGAATCACAATATACATGCTGTTCTACAGCTTGCTTTTCTCTCAACAATACATTGTGACCAACCATCCTTCTATATCAGTACAGAGACATATTTACAGCTACATGAGCCAGTACGTTCTCTTCTCATTTCTGTCATTTCCAACCAAAAAGTCTTGATGAACATGAGAGACCAGAGTCACCTTTAGGGTTATGATGCTGCTTGTATCAAGGGCCCTATCTCAGGATGAAGATGGAGAAGTAACAGGTGAAACTCAAAAAAGGAGACCTTTGGATGCCAGGTAGAGGAAGTTAAATTTCTTTATATAGTCCGAAGCATTTTGAGCAAGGCAGTGGCATGGTCAAATCTGTCATTGAAGAGATTGACCCTGGTGGTAATCTATACGAGACTGGAGCAGAAGATGGCAGGCAGAAAAATCAGATTTGGTACAATGGTTTGCTTACACATCAGTTACTAAGTACTCAGAATACTTCTAACACTGCTGTGCTATTGCATTTCCAGAGCAATCTCACAACATTCTATCTAGCTTACTCTCTCATAATAAAGCAAAAGTGAAATACCCTGCTTTACAACAGTTTAAACTACTGTGAAAATAAAAAATGATTCATTCACTAAACTTTTGCTGAGCACCTACTATATGCCAGGCAGTAGAGAAACAACAGTGCACAAAAATGAAGTCTTGGTCCACATGGGAGAGGCTGTAAAAGGAACAAATTTGGGGGCTATCGGTTTAAAATTAAATAAGTTTAATTTTGAACATATTTTGATATGCCTATTAGACATCCAAGTGAGACATGAAGGAGGCAGCTGAATATGAATTGAAGAAAGTTCTTGGTTAGAGACACAATTTGGGGGGTCATCAGAGTATGTGATCAGCTAGTTAGTGAACCCATAGAATAAAGAGGAGTCCAGGAGATGAGACTGAAAAAGGTGATGACAAGAATAGACCTGCAGAGAAAGCAACAGTCAGCCATGGACAAGGATCAGAATCTCCAAAGAATAGGGGAGGTGCTGTGGTGTCAGTGAGGATGGCTATCTCTTGCCACAGTTTAGTCCCCAAATCTATCACCTAATAGTGTTGGCATATCATGAAGTTTGGCATGGAATTTGGTATAATCATGGTGATTCTATCTAACTCACAGCATTGAATGCAGCAAAGACTTCTTTCGTTTTTTAACAACTATGTATAACTGCAGCAAGGAGGCAGGGTTAGTGGTATTGATTGATGGTAAGAGTTTCCAAGTGGATTAATTTTAAGGAGGAGAGCAGGACATTAGTCTGGAAGAAGCAATGAGGAGCAAAAACAACACCTAGCCTGTCACTAAGTCCATTAGTACAAGAGATATGGGAAATAAGACATGGCCACTTGGGAGGGCTCTAGGGAAGCAATATAATTAAGGAGAGCCAAATTTCCAGTAGGAAAGGGAAGGTACTATTCAGACAACTTTAAGAATGTAATGGATTTTGCTGATTGCGGGTGAGTTTTGGAATTCATAGAGCAACTCATACTTTGAGTAAGCATAAGAGGGTGCTCTTTGAAAAGGAGGAGGATGGAATCAGTTCGAGATGCACAGAGCTGTGTGCGCACAAGAACCACAGGGTGAGAGAAGACCCAGAGTCCTTATTTTCTAAGATAGGAACAAAGGGCATGACAGAATTAGTCCCAGTGTTCTTTGAGGCAGAATGGTGGGGCTGTATTGAGAAGGGAGGAAGAGCTAGATCTTCTGTTTTGTGCTCTTCCATGTTGTGCTATAAATTGGAAAAAGTAATAAGCCTTTGGTACTAACGTAGAAATGCAGTCATTTAAAAAACATTTTTATCATGTAAAGTGTTTCCTAAATTGTGGCAATCTAGCACTAGGCAGCACGGATTTAATTCTTATTGCAAAAAATATCGGTTGAACCCCTACTACTGTACTGGGTGTGGACGACAATGTAGAGAAAGGAAAGCAATCATCTCCAGAAAACATAAGCCCTCAAATACAGCTGTGCCCATTGTCCAGCAAGAGATGAGAAGAGATGTGCCAGCTACAAAACCTTTTCTTGCTCTTTGGGATTCTAGGAGTTGCATCTTCTCTATCTCCAGAGCGAAGACCAGTTGTCCACTTCTAGTATTCCTATGTTGGGTATTTGTAGTTGAGAAAAACCTGTACCATTTCATAACGCTCACCTAACTAAACGATCAGACAATGACACACATTAGACCATCTTCATTGTTCAAAATGTGGAGGATCTAAGCACTTTTCCACACCTAACCGGGCTGCCATTTCCTGTGTTTAAAGAAGTGAGAAAATGTGAGGAAAAAAAATAGTATAGAGTCAACAGAATTAGAAATGACAAAAACATGCTATATGCGCCACCCTCCTCCATCCATGATTATGACAGATGTGCCAATAATTTTTGGGACTCTTTCCTGTTGATCTTTTCCACATGGTACTCCAGACAGTCATTACCAATCGTTTATAATTGGGCCACCCCTGATAACACAAGTGGTACCACCTTTTTAGATAGTAGGTTCTAAAATGAGATAGAATATCATGGGGTTTTAAATACATGCTTGAATGATTTCTAAGCTCACTTAAAGAAGTACCCACAAGGTCCTGAGATGAGAAAACTCTAGTTTCAAAGCATCTTCTCCAGAAGAGAGGCACACAAGAGGCAATCTAGCATGAGATACTGCTAGACATTTGCTCACTGATGGTTTAATTTTGTAGGAAGCCAAATGGCTTCAGTGAGGATGGCTATCTTTTGCTACAGATAAATCCCCAAATCTGTCACCTAATAGTGTTGGCATATCATGAAGTTTGGCGTGGAATTTGGTATAATCATGGTGGTTCTACCTAACTCACAGCATTGAATGCAGCAAAGATTTGTTTTGTTTTTTACCCTCTAATCTTAGATTAAGTTGTTCCCAGATGTATTTTGGTAGGAAGATGTTATTATACTCCCCTGACAATCTTAAGACCACTTTTTGAGTTTTGGCCTCAGAAAGTCTTTCTTCACCTTTTTATATTTAGAAGGAATGCCTAACCTATTTGGTCAACCACTTAAGCTCAGAGCTTGGAGTAATTTAAAGTTTCACTTGGAGAAGCAGACACACAGCAGATACAGTATTTTCGTTGTTTTCTCTAAATTGAAATAAGATAAGAACAGGTATTAAGCTGCTTAGAGATTTGAATTAGAGAAACAATTATCCTAATACACATGATAGGGGAAAGGATCTCAGAGCTCATAATCTCCTGATTCGTATGAAAAACTGTCACTCTGTGGATATCCATGCTTGACTGGAGGTTATGAAAAGTAATCTAAGCCTCCTTTTCTCACTTTTATCCTCTCTGATTGATTTCTGGTTCTTTTGAAAATGATTGTTCCTCTTTAAAACTTTCTGAACATAGCACAATGCATAATCTGTATCATTTGGCACTCTAACTACTTTGCTATTATACTAGGATTCTTATGCCTGAGCATGCCTTGTCGGTATTTGCAGTTGAAATTTATTCAATGAAATGTGAAAGTACTTTGTAAGATACATTTAGAGCATTTGACTTAGGCCAAGCATGCTGAGCTAAAAAGGTTCAGGAAGTTATATTCTTACACAGTTAATGTTGTTCATGACAGGTATCTTTTCATTTTTGACTGCCTGCTTTCTGACCTCTTGCAATGGCCACCAGAGGGTAGGGAACTCAGTGTGTGAAAGATCATTTCAATGGTGTCTTCACATTTTTGACATCTTTGATGTCCGAACTGCCATAACTAGGGTGAGTAGTCAGGGAGCTGGTCTGAGCTTCATCACCTGACACCTTATACCTCACCCTCTACTGTCTCCAGAAGTAGATCCTTAAAATTGTTAGTATTGCTATATGAGCTCACCCAGTCTTAGGCCACCCTTTTCCTGAACAGAGTTTATTTATTTTTCTGTGAAGGAGAATAAGAACTCTATTCCCTGAGAATCAGAAAAAAAACTTAGCTGGATATACTTAAGAGGTGGTTATACTCACTCAGCATGTTCAGAGACTGAGGAGCCTTAGGAAACAGAACAGCAATAATCAGGCTGCTTTAATTCCTACAATATTTCAAGGAGTACCCTGGGCCTGAAAGACACATCCCTCTACCTGGGGGCCAGTGAAAAATCAGCGCTCCAGACTAAGAGATCCCCAGTGATTGCAAACACAGCACAGCTCATGTGTTTTCAGAGTCTGGTACATGGTAAATGCTCTACGTGTGCTTGTTTAGTAAATGGGTGAAAGGCAAGATTCAGACATTAGCAGCTAGATGGTAATACCAGACTACTACCCATACCCAGACTACTGCACACCCACTTTCTCTCAAGTGCCTAAAGACAACCACCAGCCAGAGATGCTTTGTAGATTGACATGTGGTAACTGTCAACCCCATCAGAAACTGAAAACACTTTTCCTCATAAATCTCTCTTGAGGCCCCCTTCCTTTTTCTATGGTGGCTGTGCAAATTCGCCTCTCAGATGCTAAGTGGTTGATGTAAGACCCAATGTGGTCATCTAGAAGCCTGAGGAAGGCTGCTGGAGTTGCCTTTGTGTTGCTGCTTCTGTTTTTTTCTCTCCCATGGAAAAATCTTCCGTGGAGACCACGTTTCTGAATCCAGTTGTCTTAAAGCTTGGATCCAAATGACACATTGTTGGGCGTCCCTCCTTCCAGGAGCTGCTGCTCATGGCTTCAGGAAGGAGTCTTGTCATTGCCGCAGAAGCTGCTTTGGGCACCTCTTAGTGTGGTTTTATGGTAAATTAATGAGTTAGAGGCCTCAATTCTTCTATGAGACCTCCCATATACACATGCCATTTCCCTTGTAGTTTCTCTCACTAAATAGGAAGAGTGACTTATTTCAGCCAGTAGAGATGTGTGCTGATGTGACTACAAGCAGAAGCATTTGAGAGTTCATAACTGCTCTTGCACCTCTGCCAGGAGAATACAACTGGGTTAGCTAGGTGGAAGGATGTGAAAGATTCATAGAAGAGAGCTGAGTCATGCAGGTGACAGCAAAGTAACTCCCAGATGTGTGCACCACAGACAATAGCTGGTTAACTCTGAGACCTAGGAGTGTCCCCAGACAAGAACAGGAAAACGGCCCAGTATGGTCTAGACAACCAACATACAAGCTAAATAAATGCCTACTGTTGTATGCCACTGAATTTTGGAGTGCTTTGTTACACACTGGTATTACGGCAATGGGCACCAGATATAGTTACTTTCTTTTGCTGTTGAGAGATAGTATAATTCTGTGATTAAGGCACCAGACTCTAGAAGGGAAGAGATTGGGTTTATATCTTGCCTCTGCCACTCACTAACTGTAGAGAATCACTTAAATTCTCTATAACTCAGTTCCTTCATCTGTAAAATGGAAACAATAGTATCTACCAATAAGCTAATTACCTGAAGAGCTCAGAACTATCTCTGGCATATAGTACACACTATAAATGTGCTATTATCATTTGCTAGTATGTTGATTAGCATTGGTGAAAAGTCAGCCAAGTGGTTTAAGCCTGTGTGTCCCACAGTCTGTCCCTGTCCTCTTAATTAGGGAATGTTAATAGAGTTTTTCTAAGGAGTTTTGTTTTTTATTTCATGTGCTACTACTCCTTTCTTAGGGTGGGTAAGAAGTTTGTTAAGTTGGCCTCAGTGTCTTCTCTCTTCCTATGAGTCAATCTGTGTCATATCTGGAGATATTGAGACTTTTGCCATTTAAATGTCATTTTCCCTAGATTTCAGTGCTTATACAAATCTATCTATCTATCTATATATATATATATATATATATATATATATATATATATATATATATATATATATTCATATTCAATTTTGAGAGGTATATGGGAGATTATGGTCAAGTAGCCCTTTGACCCAGAGGTAAAACAATATAGTTTCAAATAACCAAATACAACCTTATTTGTCTTTCCTTATTTGGATTTTCCATGTATTTAGAATAACCTAGCAGATTAATATTCTTTGTCCCTTTACCCTATTTGGAGTCTATGTCAAAATATGTAATTTGACAGCTACTTGGAGAAGTTCCCTGACTTACAGACCATGTTAGTTCTTTGGCTCATGGGACTAAAGATTCTTGGAGCTGGAAAGCACTGTAGAGGTTACTCAGTCTTTCCAGTTACAGATGAGGGAACCAAAGATCAGACAAGTAACTTTTTTGTGGTTCCAGAGAAAACAAAAGAACCTGGGTAAGAATACAGAGCTCTCCCAAGTCCAGTGGATTCTTACTCTTTTAGCGTTTAATACTTGATATGCACTAGAAAAAATATATAGTGTAAGTTGGACACATAATAAAATAGATACCTAGATATATCACCAAATCTTTGACATCATCAATGACACAGAGACTTCTCATATATACAGCTCTAATCTTAGCCTACTGTATCTTGTTGCAACCCTAACCTGATACAATCCCTAAAGAGGTCAACATTTTTCTGAATTTTATATTTATCATTTCATTGAACATTGTATGTTTACCTAAATTATATATTTAAATAAAAATGGTATATCAGTCATGTTTTTTCACCACACGTTATATTGCAATACTTATCCACATTCTTGCACGTAGCTGAAGTTCATTTATTTTCATTGTTTAAATTGAGCTCTTTTTTTTGCTATAAGGTAAAATTGCTATGAATTATCTTGATCATGTCTAGTGAGACATGTATAAAGTTTATTTAGGGCAAGTGATAACAAGTGGAGTTTCTGGAACATAGGTTAATGTACACACTCAACTTTGTAAGATAACACCAAATTGTGTTTAAAGTGGTTTTTCTTTTCCATGCTTAGCAGCAGGGTTTTAGAATTCTTAACTACTCACAGGATCCATTCTTGGTGTAGTCTTTCAGCTAGTAAATATAGTACTAGTAGGTGTATTGTATTCTTAACTTGCACTTCTCTAATGACTAATAAGGTTGGCCATCTTTTCATGTTTCCTCTTTAATAAAATGCCTATTTATGTGTTTTTTTGCATTCTATTTTTCTTTTAGTTGACTTGTAGTTATTAATAAATTCTGGACACTAATCTTCTATCAGATACATATTAACAAATTTTCCCAGGTATTTATTGGCTTAACTTTTTATTTTATGGCATCTTTTAATGAATAAAAATTTTTGGTTTTAACATTGTCTTCAGTATGATTTTCACTACATCAAAGATGCATTTTATTGTATGTCAACCTAGAAAAAAGATTATCTCCAAATTATAGAGACTTATATGTGCAAATAACCTACTATCTTAGTCAATACTATATCTGAAATGAGAGACTGAATTTTTTTTTAAATCATAGAGATAAAAAATGGAAACTCCTAACACTTTGTTCTAAAAGAATTTGTTGCTCAGATACTGGGTGATGCTCAGATACTGGGTGATGATGAGAGAGCGTAGATGTAACTTAACAGAAATACCAAAAAAAAAAATTATTCATTCTCAGCTGTCAACTAATTTAGCTTTCTTGTAACCCTATTAATTATTTTTCGTCTTTCTGAATCTTGAATCTCTTCATCTTCACTGCTTCTGAACATATCTCAACATTTAAAACAAAACAAAAAATAAAGCCATGCTTTGATTTTTTTTCTTTTAAATTTTTACTGCCTTTACTCAATCTGTTTACATTCCTACACTGCAAAGCTACATGGGGGTTAACTTCATTGACTTCCTCCACTCTTCTCAAATCATCTCATTAAAGTCATCAATAACCTCCTAATTGAAAAATTCATTAGGCACTTTTCAGTCCTAACATTATTTGATGTCTCTGCAGCATTTGACACTCCTGTTCACTCCATTTTTTCTTGAATATATCTCTGCCCTAACCTCCCTTTTTTTGGGGTTATTTTCCTAGCTCTCAGAATTCCATCTCAAGTCTCTTTCATCAATTCTCCTCATGTGCACACCTCAAATGGTCATGTTTTCCAGGGTTCTACCATCAACTCCGTATTCTTTCCCTACTGTGCTGGGAGGAATGTCATATACTCCCAGGGTTTCAGCTATCTCTTGTATGTTGAAATATTCATTTATCATGTGAACCCCTTTCCTAAGTTCTAGACCTTACTTTCTACTAAGCTTTTCCAGTGGCTTCCACTACCACCTATACTTTGATGATTCACAGACCTAGAGTACCAGCCCAAAACACTCTCTTGAGCTCTAGACCCTTATTTCTTAATCCACACTTAACATCTCCTCCTAGAAATTTCTTAGGCACCTTATAGTCAAGATTTTCCAATCTGAACCATAATGTTCCCTCCCTCCACCTCCTGAAGGCTCCTCTCACAGTACTTCCTTCTCTGAAAATTAGACAACTATCTATACAGTTACTCAAGACAGAAAATGGAGAGTCATCCATGAGTCCTCCTTTCTTTTCTACACTCCATATTTAGCCAGACTGTAAATCTGATCAATTTAATATTCTTAATATGACTCAAAACTGTTCCTCTTCATATCTGCTGCTCTTTAATTCAGGCCCTCATCACTTCTTTCCAGCACAAGTCTCTTAGCTAGATTCCCAACTTTGGGTCTTGCTCTGGTCCAGAAGAGTCCATTTGCTTCACTTCCACTAATATATTTTTTTTCTAAAAAGTTAATTGATGTCCTTTTTCTAGAGGATAAAAATCCCAACTCCCTACTGTGAAATTTAAGATTCTGACGACCTGGGTCCTCTCTACCTTTCCAACCTCATCTCATAGCTGTCGCCTGCAAATATCCAATTGATGAATCATACATTTCTACTTCAGGTAAGGTTACCTACATGTGTCTCACTTTGTTATACCTCTGTGCCTATTAATATGCTTTTCCTTCTGCTACAATTATTCTTTCTTTCATTTCTTTGCCTAATGAATTTCTTTGAGGCATAATAAGTGTTCACAGGCACTGCGAAACCTCTTTATTTTTTCTAGGAAGCATTAGAAATTTTCTCCTCTGTGTTCACTTAGAGCCTTATTTTCCTGTTATAGCACATGACAGAGAACAATAATTACTTGTTTGCATGACAATGCTCACCATTAAACTGTGAGCTCCTCAAGGAAAGTTGCCAAGTTCTAGTTATCATTGTAGCCTCAGTACTTATAGTTACCAGTACACAGTGAGCACTTAATTAATGTTTCTGGAATAGGTTAACTCAATGTGCATGAATATTGTGGCATCACTTCCACAAAAGCTTCTGTCTCCCATGGCTCCATTAGCAGTTCTAGAACATATAGGCAGTGATAGTTCTGCTTTTCTGTAGGGTGATCAGTCTATATTTAGAATACTTGGTATGATGCTGCTCTTAGATTAAGGCAGATATAAACTGAAAAACATTAAGAGAACAATCAGGCACCAACATCATGTCAAAGAAGCAATGATTGAAGAAATGGAAATCATTTTGGTGAGGCATCACAAATCAAAAAGAATTTTAACAGTATCTACTGTAATAGAATTGAGAGCAAGCACTCTTATTCTAATAAAACACAAAGATGGAAGATCAAAGTTGACAGCAAAGAATTTGTTCTTTGCTGCTTCTCTCACTGAGAGGTTGAATCTAATTCTCCTCTCCCTGAAGGTGGTTTGCTTGACCAATAGCATGGGATTAAAAGGGTATGGCAAGATTTCCGAGACTATATCAGAGAAAAAAAAAAAAAAAGAATTCCAGCTCCTCCCTTGGTCTCTTGGAATGTCTCTTCTTGAAGTACCCACACTCCAAAGTCACTCACTCATTTTCATACTGTGAGAAGCCCAAGGCTCATAAAGAGGACACATGTTGGTGCTGTTAGTGCCAGCAAACTCCTAGCTAACAGGCAGCTTCAACTGCCAATGACTTCTGAACCATTTTGGATTCCCTGGTAGATAACTTAGATAATTGCAGCCACATGAAAAGCCTAAGCAAGAGCCAATCAGCCAGATTCTTTCTGAATTCCTGATCCACAAATTTCTGTGCAAAATAAAATGCATTTTAAAAAATAAATGATTACATTTGGGGCTTTTAACTATTAAAATAGGGTGGTTTGTTACCCAGAAACAGCTAAAGCAACCACTACAAATGTTGATTGATTGATTTGGTAACGATAAACCGTTGTGCCAAAAACTGACTTTTACCACTCAGATCTTCCTTCAAGAAAGGTTTTGCTGCCCAGTTACAAGGAATGTGATTATCTGGCACCCTCCAGCTGTTAGCTCCTTCAGGGTCGTCTACCTCATATCTGAGCTGTGAGCTTGCTCTTTTCAGATAAGGCCCCAGCCAATGGCTGAGTAGCCATTGCCATAAGGCAATGGTAGCCAACGCCACATTCTTAGGTGTCCCCAGTCAATGGCTAACCAAAATGGGGTGTGAAGGTCTATCTCAAGCTTGTCCAGCCAGCAGCCCATAGGCTGCATGTGGCTCAGGACGGCTTTGAATGTGGCCCAACACAAATTCATAGATTTTCTTAAAACATGAGATTTTGTTGTGATTTTTTTCAAAGCTCATCAGCTACTGTTAGTGTTAGTATATTTTATGTGTGGCCCAAGGAAATTGTTCTTCTCCCAGTATGACCCAGGGAAGCCAAAAGACTGGACACCCCTGGTCTAGCCATTTCTGTACAACTGAGGACTCCTTGAATGAGCAATCTTTGCCCTAGAACAACTCCCTTAGGCTCACAGAGACCTCATCTGTCTGCATCATGAGCAATGTCTCCACTTGCCCAGTACTGCTGCCTCTCTCTTCACATGTATATTCCCCAATAAACCTTTCATGTACCTATTCCATCTCAGTGTCTGCTTTGGAAAGAACACAAGACATACAACCATCTTGCATTATTTTTAGAAAATTATAATAGCAAAAAGCAACTTTGAAGACATGGTAGCAAAACAAGCCCATGAACACTTGTGTGGCTATTGGTCCCAGTTATTAATGGCTTAAGGTCATTGCTTGTTTTACCGTGTTCAAGTAAAGTATGGCAATGCCTTCATTATTGGCTACCTATACACTTAGCAAATAGCACTGCAAATAAAAGGAGGGAATGAGACTTACACAGAAAGCACCAGGATCCTGATTCTACATCTGCCTGAAGTGGCAGGGCACTCAATGGAATGACAAGCATTTAACAAAGATCCAGTTGGCCTTGTAAGACATTGGCTGATTTTCCTAAACCTTAATCCAACTTCAGTAATTTCCCAACTTTATTGGAAATCCTCGTCTGACACTGCTTGCTTAAAAATATGTGGGCTAAGAAGGGAGGTTGGATAACAATTTCAAGGCATTTATGAAGGAACCGTGAGATTGAATCTTTCGAAGAACATTCAAGTCACATTTTCATAGAAGCTGAAATTGTCTCTTTTCTACTTAGTTCAAAGACAGTAATTTTTTCATGTCATCCTAATAGATTAGAAGAATTGATATTGTTAAGATGACTGTGCTACCCAAAGAAATCCACAGATGCAATGAAATCCCAAATCAAAATGCCAATGATATTCTTCAGAGAAAGAGAAAAAAACAATTCTAAAATTTGTATGGAACCACAAAAGACCCTGAATAGCCAAGGCAGTACTTAGCAAAAATAACAAAGCTGGAGACATCACACTACCTGACTTCAAAATATACTGCAAAGCTATACTAAGCAAAACAGCATGGTATTGGTATAAAAACAGACATACAGACCAATGAAATGGAACAGAGAACCCATAAATAAATCCTCATATTCGGAGTAAACTGATTTTTCAACAAAGGTGCTGGGAATATACACTGGGAAAAGGACACCCTCTTCAATAAGTGATGCAGAAAAAAACTGGATCTCCATAGGCGGAAGAATAAAACTATACCCCTATTTCTCATCATTTACAAAAATCAACTTAAAATGAATTAGACTTAAATGTAAGACCTGAAACTATAAAACTACTAGGAGATAACTTAAGAGAAATGTTTTAGGACATTGGTCTAGGCAAAAATGTTATGGGTAAGTCTTCAAAAGCACAGGCAACAACAACAAATAATAGACAAATGGAACTATATCACACTCAAAAGCTTCTGCACAGCAAAGGAAACAACAGTGTGAAGGAAGAACCTGTAGAATGGGAGAAAATATTTGCAAGCTATTCATCTAACAAGGGGATATCCAGGATATACAAGGAGCTCAAATAACTCAACAATAAAAATCTGATTAAAAATGGACAAATGATCCGAATAGACATCTCTCAAAAGCCATACCAATGGCCAAGAGGTACATGAAAAAATGTTCAACATCCCTAGTTACCATGGAAATGCAAATCATAACCACGATGAATTATTTTCTCATCCCAGTTAGAATGCCTATTATGAAAAAATAACTGCTATCAAGGATGCAATGAAAAAGGAACTGTTACTGTTTTTTAGGAATCAAATCTTATTTTTTCAACTGTTATTTTAGATTTAGGGGCACATGTATAGGTTTGTTACCTGGATATATTGCATGATTCTGAGATTTGGGGTATGAATTATCCCATCACCCATTACTAGGCAGAGTACCCAACAGTCTTTCTACCCTTACCTCCCTCTCTCCCACCTCTAGTCCCCAAAAAGGGAACTCATACACTGCTGGTAGGAATGTAAATTAGTACAGCCATTGTAGAAAACAGTATGGAACTTTCTGAAAAAACTAAAAATAAAACTACCATGCAATCCAGCCATCCCACTACTGGGTATTCATCCAAAGGAAAGGAAGTATATGGAAGTGATACCTGCACCCCCACGTTTATTGCCACTCTAATCACAATACCAAAGATACAGAATTGCCTAAATGTCCACCAACAAATAAATGCATAAAGAAAATATGGTATATATGTACACACACACACACACACACACACACACTCAATGAAATTCAGCTATTTATTCAGCATGAGTAAGCCTTGAGGATATTATGTTAAGTCAGGCACAGAAAGAGAAACACTGCATGTGTAGGAGCTAAAAAAAAAAAAAGTGAGCTCATAGAAGGGGAAAATAGAACTGCGATTGTTAGAAGCTGGAAGGGTAAGAAGGAAAGGAGGATAAAGAGAGGTTGGTTAATGAATAGAAAGCTACAACTAGATGGCAGGAATGACTTCTGGTGTTCTGTATAAGTATGGCTAACAATAATCTTAATTTATTTTTATGTATTTAGGGAGTACAAGTGCAGTTTTGTGACACGAATATATTGCACAGAGGTGAAGTCTGGGCTTTTAGCCTACCCATCATCTGAATAGCAGACATTGCACCCAACAGGTAATTTTTCAACCCTCACTCTCCTCCTATTTTTCCGCCTTTTAGTGTCTCCAATGTCTATTAATCCACTCTCTACGTCCATGTGTACCCATTGATTAGCTCCCACTTGCAAGTGAGAACATGCAGTATTTGACTTTGTTTCTGAGTTATTTCACTTAGGATAATGGCCTCCAATTCCATCGAAGTATGTTGCTAAAAGACTTTCTTTCATTCTTTTTTATAGATGAGTAGTATTCCATTGTGTGCATATATATATATACACACACACACAATTCCATCATATATATATACCCTATATATATACCCATATATATATATACACCTCTATATATAGAGAGGTATATATACATCCTATATACATACCCTATATATATATAGGGTATGTATATAGGATGTATATATAGGGTGTATATATACCTCTCTCTATATAGGTATATATAGAGAGGTGTATATATATAGGTATATATATAGGGTATATATATAGGGCATATATATAGGGTATATATATGTGTGTATATGTATATATATGTGTGTATATGTATATATATACACACACGTATATAGGCTATATATATGTATGTATATGTATATATATACACACACACGTATATATAGGCTATATATATATACACATTTCTCTGATTTAAGTCTATTTGGAGAATAAGCATATATATATATATATATATATATAGGCTATATAGCCTGTGTGTGTGTGTATATATATATAGCATATATATATATATAGGCTTATTCTCCAAATAGCCTTAAATCAGAGAAATGTGTGTATATATATATGTGTGTGTATATATATATATACACACACACATATATAGCATATATATATATATATATATGCACACAATGGAATACTACTCATCTATAAAATGGAATACACAATGGAATATATATATAGCCTATATGTATATATATATATAGGCTATATACACACACATATATAGATATAGACTATATATATAGGCTATATATATATGTATATATATGATGGAATTTTGTGTGTGTGTGTGTGTATATATATATATGCACACAATGGAATACTACTCATCTATAAAATGGAATACACAATGGAATATATATATAGCCTATATGTATATATAGGCTTATTCTCCAAAGAGACTTAAATCAGAGAAATTTATAGATGTGTATCTGTGTTTAATGTGTCCTTAATTTTTGCTATACACACACACACACACACACGACCTTTCTTTATTCAATCAGTTGATGAACACTTAAGTTGATTCCATGACTGTGCTATTGTAAATAGTACTGTGATAAATATAACAGCGCAGGTATCTTTTTTTATGTGATGATTTATTTTCCTTAGGGTAGACACCCAGTAGTGAGATTGCTGGATCATTTGGTGGTTCTATTTTCAGTTCTATTGGGAAATCTCCATTGTGTTTTCCACAGAGGCTGTACTAATTTACATTCCCACCAACAGTGTATAAGTGTTCTCTTTTCTCCACATCCTAGCCAACATCTATTGTTTTTTGACTTTTTAATAATAGCCATTCTGACTGGTGTAAGATGGTATCTTGTTGTGGTTTTAATTTGCATTTCTCTGATGATTTGTGATGTTGAGCATTTTTCACACATTTAAAGATACACTTGTATGTTGTCTTTTGAAAAATACCTGTTCCTGTCCTTTACCCACATTTTAATGAGTTTGTTTTTCTTGAGTTTCTTGTAGATTCTGGATATTAACACTTTGTCAGATATATAGTTTGCAAACATTTTCTTCCCATTCTATAGGTTGTTTGCTTACTGATTATTTATTTTGCTATGCAGAAGGCTTGTAGTTTAATTAAGTCCTATTTGTCTGTTTTTGGTTTTGTTACATTTGCTTTTGAGGGTTAACAATAATACATATTTTCAAAAAGATAGAGGAGAGGATTTTGAATGTTCACATGCAAAGAAAAAAATGTTCAAAGTATTAGATTTGCTAATTATCCTGATTTGATCATTACACGTTGTATACATGTATCAAAATATCACTATAACCCATAGATATGTACAGTTATTACACGTTAACTAAAAAAGGAAAAAAAAGATGGTCATTTTTTCAAGTGTATTATGGTAACTATGAAGAAAATGTGTGTGTGTGTGTGTGTGTGTGAGTTTAGAGAGAGAGGGTAACAATTAGTCTATGATTTAAAAATAGGAATTATATATTCTACTGGCATTCTGTCCTTTGGTCCACATTTATAGAAATATTTGCCTTTTCTCTGATAGTTATTACTTTTCCTAGGGAAGAGAAGAATGCCAGGAGAAGGATGTGATTCCTCTGTTCAAATATTAGAAGAATTATGAGAAATTAGATTTGTTACAGCAAAAGTTAATATAACAGCCAGAGGGTAAAATTGGTCCAATAGGTATTTGGAAGTTAAACAGAAAAAAATTTGCATTGACTTTTTTTGGAATTGTTTAAAGATAGATGCTATAGTTTGCTTTGATAGGTAGTGTGTTTTCTATTGCTAGGGAAAACCAAGCACAACCCTGGCAATTACTTGATGGAGAGAATACTAGAAGGCATTCAAGTAAATCTAGAACAACAGGCTTTAAAGTCTCTCTACCAGAAATTCTATAAATACTGAAGAAACAGTAAGACAAATATGAAGGTATTATGAGGAACTCTCCCACTCTAAATATAAATATAATGTAACAGGAATTACATTACTATAATCAAATAGTTCTGGTTCCCATTTTGTCAGGTATAAAGCTCTGCTGACATCTTTAAAATTATTTTTTATAAAGCCAGCCAAGCATGGAATAACTTCATAGCTGCTTTAGCAAAGACTAATTCAGGAAATTACACTAATGAGAGGCTAATAAGTCACACTAAGATGAGCCTAGAAGCACACGTCTTTTTCAGAGGAAGCTGGTGAATACTGTGCCTGTAAGTGAGAGGTTTATGTTCTCATTTTCTAAGGAAAGGTTTTCAGAAATTTATCAGTAGGGGGCATTGCTGTTCTATCAGCAGAAGAGCTAGACCCAAGAAGTGCTCTCGGTAATTGAGCACTTAGAAATAATCAACAAGTCAAAGCAGATAAGAAACTATTTTTTTTCTTGGAAAAAATTCACATGTCATCTGTTCTAAATGAAACTTTAGAAAATGAAAGTACAGCATGTACATATTTGGTTTTTCCAAGATAAATGAAAGATGCTAGAGGTTTTAAAAAAATTTTGTTAAAGAGAGACTAATATCACAGCAGCTGCAGATTCAGCACTTCCAATCTCAGGAATTGAGAAGAAAGCTGAATTTGCATCATGGTGAACTAGCATCACTAATGCTTACAGCTCCCATCTAACCGTCATGAGAGTGAAATTAAACAGTTCTCCCTGTGTTCGAAACTTATTCAGTACAACAAATACTGGTCTGTTCTTCCCTCTCCCCTTCTACCCATATAGGCAAAGTCAAACAATCATGAAAGGAATCGGGGGAAAAAGTAAAATATGCAAATGTGGAATGCAGAGATGAGCTAAAGAGCTGCACTTGTTTACCTTAGACACACAAGACCCACAATTTTTCGTGGATAGAAAGATTGTTAAATACCATCAAAAATAAATGCAATTCTTTCCACATCTGCCATGATATAAATGCTAGATGTCAGGTATAATTATGTATGAATTATCATAGTTTATAGAAAAACTTGATATCCCAGCTTTTTAAAAAAATCCCTGTACTCAAGAATATGTTAGTTTTATAACTTAGAAATTAGAATCCTGAGACTTAATGAAATTCTGAATCTTAAGAAACAGCAAAAAGTAAGGATACATTTAAACACAGATACACATCAATAAATTTCTCTGATTTAAGTCTATTTGGAGAATAAGAAGGCAGACTAATTCTCACCCACTTTTAAGGTTCATTCAGATTTTATCTTCATTTATTTAACACAAATCAATGAAGTCACTTCTAAGTAATTGGCAGACAAAGGCTAGGTATTCTGGTCTAAATTTGCCTTGGCCTATGGGGCCATATTCTGAACTCCTGGAACAGGAATTTCTAGTTGAGATCTCTCTCTCTCTAATGCCTTAGATATATATCTCAACTTAAGCCCTTATAGCATTACGGTATAGAATTTTTGTTTGTTTTTTTTTTAAAAAAATACACTTGGAGATTGGAGAGAAGGTAAAACCCTAAGGACATGATACGAACCAAGTCAATAAAAGGGAGGGCTATTGGCTCTGCATTTTTAATAAATTATAAATTTGTAAATTGGGAGAGAGAAAAGGTGGGAAGCCATTGAGATAGTTCTCTGGAGGTGAAGTAGCCATTAAAACTCTCCACATGATGAGAAAACTTTTTAGAACTAAAATGTCTAAATATGAAGTTATTTGCAACATTTCAAGGTAAACTCACCCTCTTCTCCTTATACTTTCTACAAACAACTGCCTTGTGAGTGGGTATGTGTATGTTACAAACAGTAGGGGGGAGAAAACAACACCTTGGCTCCATGTTGATGACACGTGGAAAAGGATAAGAACTTGAATGACAGAGAAGTCACACAAACTAAGCTGAATATGCAGAATCAGGACCATGAACCTAGAGGAGACCATGTAAATGTAAATCCTTCTCTCATTCCTTGCCTCTCACCACCTTCTCCCTACCCCAAGAATTCACAGAAATCTTGGGTAGTACTCTGAACCTCTGCAAGTACAGAATGGAGAACTGAGTCAGTATTATAATGATATTAAAGGGTCAAGTAGCCTTAGCTGACTTTGGAATTACATGGTGGCAAAGCCCAAAAATTATTTTCAAACCATGTTTAAAGGGTAATTTTGTCTTCCTCATACCCTCCAATGCAAAGTTGTTCTGGCCACTTTCTGAATAACTGAGGTCCTGAGATTCTGGTCTCCACTTCTGTCTTAGATAATTTTGTGCAGCTGTATCACAATACCTGAGACTTATAATGGACAGTCCTGGAGGGTGAGAAGTCCAATATCAAGGAGCTGGGATCTGGTAAGGACCTTCTTGCTAAAACATTACATGTCAGAAGGTGAGAGAAAGAGCAATAGCAAGAGAGGGCCAAGTTTGTCTTTATATAATGCACCAATCCCACCCATGAAGGTGGAGCCTTCATGGCCTAATCATCTCAAAAGTCCTACGTCTTAATACTGTTACAATGGCAATTAAATTTCACTATGAATTTTGAAGGGGACAAACATTAAAGCCATGACAACTCCCATCCCCGTTGGGTCATTCTGGTAGGGCCCAAGGCACAGGGTACCATCTCTACCACCATCAACCCTTCTGATGAGCTCACTTTCATTTTAAGATTGTGATTCAAACTTTCTCTTTTTGTAAACATTATTCCATTTTCCCCAGTTACAAAATAATTTTTTAATCATTACACTTTCAGAAGTAAATGAAGAATGGCCCTAAAATCACACACCTACCTCCAGTTTGGCATGTCTATGTTTAGAGAAGCTTGTTATGGTAGTAAACAGAATTAAATGCAGCCATCTGTTGGTAAATGAAATATATGTTGAGTAGCAGTTACATTTCAGTTCAGAAAAAGATTCTGGGCTTAATCTAAATGTCCTTTGAAAGCTAACTCAAGTCTATTTGGAAAGATTAGTCCTATGTATGAGACGTATATTCCAACACAGGTTTGGAATCTGAAGTGCTCAGATGCTGACCTGAATGGGGAAGTTTCGGTGATTGGATCAGGTAAGAAAGTTGTTCAGTGTAGGATCAGACACATATTTATTTTAGCTGGAGTCAGATAAGCCAAAAGAAAGTTAATAAGATAAAGGGAAGTCTTTAGGTACCTATGAACAACCGGACATTTTCTTTAAAAGCCCCTCGTAATGTTGAGTGCCTTTATACCCATTTTACTGATTGAGGAAACTGAGGTTCACAGAGAAAAAATAACTTGCCCAAGACCTCATAGCTAGGGCAAGGTAGTGATGGGGTTGAAATGCTGGTATAATTCTAATCTCTCCATGAAAACACAGATGTAGCTCAGCAGGCAGGCAACTAGGGATGTGATTATAGGCCCAAGGCTATTGTGATATGTGAATCAGTGCTGAGCAGTACAAAAAGCAGATTTGTAATCAGAAGGTCCAGGCTCTGCTACTCATTAGACCTATGACCTTGGACAAATTGCTTGTTACTCTTTAACCCCAATTTCTTCATTATTTTTTTTCTCTTTTTAAGAAAAAAAAAAAAGAGGAGGAAGAGGATACAATTATCTACTTAACCTGAAAAAAGCTCCCCAAACAGAACAATTTAGGAGCAATAACATGTAGCCTTTTTATGTCATGATGCCCAGTTGCCCAGTTGTCCCAGTGACACTAGCACCACAGTGAGAACAGACACTCCAAGGCCACTGGTCTACTTGAACCAGTTTTTGCAGAACCAGGAGAGCAGATGAGATATATTCCAGAATTTCTCAGTGAGGCTCAAAGACCTGCAAAGAATGCTTTTGGATAATCAGTTGTTTACTTTCGAAGACATTAAAAAAATAAAACGGCACCAGAAAAATTGGCCTCCCACAAATCAGTTCAACTTCCTGTCACTAACTGTACTCAAATATTTTGTTCATTCACTTGTGGCTGCACTTAGGCCTTTTTCCACGGCAATATGCTTCTGCAAGCATAAAAGTGCTGAAATGTGTGTTTGTATGTGATTTTAAAATTTACCTTTGAAAGTGTAATGCTTTGAAAATTACATTTAACCAGGCCACATAATTTGATGATCAAGAATAGGGAGTTTGAAGTATAAGATAGAAAAAGTAAAAATATGTAAGGAAGATAATGAGAGAAATTCAGAATATTTGTGTCAATATGGATTAGCATAAACTTGGTTTTCTCTCTGATGCTGCATACAGCAACAGGAAGGAAAATCGACTACTTTAAAGCAAGTGAATCAACAATGAGCAAAGTTCACTAAAATAAAATAAAGTATACTTTGATGTTTCTCTAATATATGGGTTTTATTATTGTGGTGACACAAATGAATCTTTGTCAAGGGTGAGAATTCCCTGGGTAGTAAACTCAAGACATTTTGACTTTTGTAGTAACATTTTCAAAGCCATTAAACAAATTCGAAAGAAAAAGGTCATCAGATTTGTTTTGCAATTGAAAAGAGCCTTGGTTAGCCCCAATCAATAGGATAATCACATAAGACATTTTAAAAAACAATGTGGAATCTTCCTCCATTTTCAAAAGTACCTGAGAAAATTAAACTCTTGCAATAGGAGAATTTGTGCTAAATCTCTGCTTGATGTATATGGCTTAACCTGCTTGGGGGTAGAAAGAAACCAAAACTAAAAAAAAAAAAAACAAACGATCTCATTTATAGCCAGGAGACTTCAGGCCACAGATGGTTCCCACTGCTCTCTTACAAGTTTTTTTGTTTTTTTTTTAATTGGGGCACCATTTTCTGTTTCTTTTTTCCCTTCCCGCAATAGTCATGACAGTGAAAGGACTGGGCATGGTGTAGGGGTTGTAGGAAGGGATACAGTGAAAGTTTTCCTGAAGAAAAACTCTGGCCTTGGAGCTGGACAGTTCAAACCCCTCTTCTGCTGCTAAATGGCTGTGTAAGCTTGGACAATTCACTTAACCTCATCAAGTCATTATTAATAGGGAAAGTAATTCCTAATATGACAGAGGACAAATATCAATGCATGAGGAATAACAACCTCCTGCCAAAGAAAATTCTGGCCAGACAGCTAGATTCCTTCCTTTTTATTCAATAGATCCAGAATTAAACACTACAAGGCAGAGAGTACAGCAGAATTCACTGGAAAAAAAATAAATAAATTTTAAAAACCTGCAAATTCAGAGCAGAGAATGACTAGTTCAAAAAAAAAAAAACTTTAATAATGTCTAAAAGTCTGATGTTTTAATTCTTTTTTATTTTGAAACTAGCCTTTGTGTTTTGGTGGTGTTGATAAAATAGCACCCACTTTAGCCCACGATGGGTTTTGAATCAGTTGAGAGAGGTGTGAGAGAGATCAAAATAGTCCCTCATTACTTCTAAAGCCTGGGTTAGAGACTTAGGTGGACCTCCTAATACTGAACCACAAAATCAGGTAGATGTGCCTACTCAGTCATAGATAGTGCTAGAAAACCACAGTCCTTTTCCACACAGAAGGAACAGACTAGAACACATATTTCCTGTGGTAGCTGGCTCCCAAGGGGAAGGAGAAAGGAAGATGCTGAGCTATGCATACCTAGTTTTTCTTGCAAACTTGGCAATCGTGTACTTTATTGCATCCCAGGGGAAGAACAACTGAAGGTGTGGACAGAGGCCAGGGTTTATGCCCTTACGGGTGTCTTTCCATATGAAAGGAAATATCAACAATCAAAAATGTGCTTCTGTGAGCATCAGTCATCTCAATTCATCCTTGTTCAGTGGAATGAATTGGATTTACAATAATTTATTGTAATTAATAGAACTCTGCATCGATATCCTTAATGTTTAAACAATACATCTCAGCATCCTGATGAATACATCCTGGTTTTATTCTGGAATGGTTTGAAATGAGATATGATATGTCTGGATTTTCCTTTTCTTTATTAAACCTTTTAATGCATTTAATTTCCAGAGATGACTGGATTGGTTCCAGGAGAGGGAGGGGAGAAGCCTGTATACATCTGTAATGATCTCTGACAGTGTGACATGGAGAACTGATTTTTACAGCAGTAGTCAAAATTACAGTAATTAAGAGAAAATACCCACATCTTTATAAACAGAGTGTTAACTGATTCAAAAAGAACTTAATGAGAACTTACAAGAGGAAGTGCACGTTTGCCACTGAGTATTAAACATTAATTAAAGTCAGAAGGCAATAGTCAAATTGCCTCTCCACTTCAGTCACTTGGCAAGGCACAGAAATTGGAGAGGCTTTAGAATCTGCTGACTTTGCTGGCTCTGACCCTTCAAATGGGTTCTGTAAATTTATGGTCAGTTTTGCTGCTGAATTTTACTTCCTATTAAAGATCTTGTTGTAGAAACTCAAAGATGAAAGTTTTCAAATGCACACAGCATTTTAGAATTGGACACCTTATTTTAAAAGAGTATTTTAAATGCCCTTTTTTATTATAAAGATAAATTTAAAAAAATTTATCTGTGAAATACAGCATGAAATCATGAAATAAAATATGCCTAGAAAATATTAGAAGGAAATACATCAAATTATTAGAAATGGATTCCTATGAATGATTAAACATTTGATGAGTTTTTCTTTTTTGCATTTTATATGTATTGGTTTTATAAATGGAAAAAAATAAAGTGTGAATTTCTCAAAGTTTGTATATTCTCATGGAATAGGTAATCAGGGCCCCAAAATTGGCTACAGGGTACACATGAGAACTAGCTTTTGTTTCTGTTTCTGAGATCTTGGGAATGTTGCAAATTTAATAAGATGCAAAATGATAAACACAGCTAATCCTTGAATACCACACTGCACTGTTTTTCTTTTTACTGAATGACTGCAGATACACTTTGCCATTTCAATATACAATTACACTTGTGAATTAATGTATCATTGTGGCTCTGATCCAACATCAAACCCTTGATCTGATAACAAGCAAGACAAACTTCCAGAAGCAGACCTAACAACTTTTTTATTCTGAGTTTAGAACTGACCAATTTGAACAAGGCAGGTCATAGGAATGGTCAGATGAATCTCCTTGGGGGCTCCAACCCATGAAACACTTTATATTAACTCCTAGGCAAATAAGACAGTGACTTGAGGGTGGGTGGGAGGGGGGAATCTTTCCTTGTCTTATCCATTCAACTCACTTATTTTGTATTTTTCTCCTGCGAGTTTCTATTAACTTCCTATTGGTCTTCTCTAGTCAATCTACTCTCCCAAAAATTCGGCTGCTACTTTGTCCAGTTGCCTTCAACTTCTGCACAAAATTCACTATTTAACTGTTTTAGATTATGACTCCCCCTTTCCTGTCTAGCGTTTATGGTGTACTCAATTGGTTCTGCTTTTAAATAATCTCATTTCCCTAATACGTCACATCCCCAATAGTTCCACTGGAATTTACTATCAACCTCTGTCCAGTTTTTTTCTTTTGTTTAAATTTATTAAGTTATTTACCTTTTCTACTTCTTTACATTTTACCCTCTATACTTAATTCCTTCTTGTCTGTTTTATATACTTATTCTTTGACAATGTCTTTAAAAATTTTTTACACCGCGCTTTTAAGTGTGATATATTCTGACCAACCCTCTAGTTGGTGAGGCAGGTATCACATCCATTAACAGGTGAAGGAATTAAAGAAACTAGGATCCAAATAAAGGATGTGGACCTCACGCTTTGCTTTTAAAATCCAGTGTTTGTTCCACTGCATCCCTACTGTGTACGAGGAGCATTTGAACCACAGCTTTGGTCAGTGGAGGGAGCTTATATTAGGCCTGGAAGGAGACACCTGCCGTGGGCATGTGGGTGAGGGGAGTTTGCAACATTATTTTTCTCACCTGCTCTCCCTAAACTTCTTGATGGAGTGTGTGCATGTGTGTGTGCTCCTGACAGCAATAACAAAGTATCTCAAACATCCTAGGCAGTCATCTTGAATTTGTCAGATTGATCTGAGTTAAAAGGAAAGCCGGCTGAAAGCAGTGGTTTGTGTCTGTAATCCCAGCACTTTGGGAGGCCAAGGTGGGTGGATCTCCTGAAGCCAGGAGTTCTAGACCAGCCTGGCCAATATGGTGAAACCCCATCTCTGCTAAAAATGTAAATAATTAGCCGGGTGTGATGGCACATGCCTGTAATCCCAGCTACTTTGGGAGGCTGAGACAGGAGAATCGCTTGAACCCAGGAGGTGGAGGTTGCAGTGAGCTGAGATCACACCACTGCACTCCAGCCTGGGCAAAAGAGTGAGACTCCATCACAAAAAACAAAAAACACAGGAACAAAATTGAAAAACTAGAAACTTCACATCTTCTGAATAACTGTGGGTTCTCCTGTTTTCATTATGTCAAATGAAAAATGAACAGATTTGGGGGTTGTTTAACCTCAAAATGAAATTATGTATAGCCTGAGCTGCTGGCCTACAATTCACTTGGAAACTCTTTTGAAGGAAAATGTTAAAGACAGGCAACATACAGAATGGGAGAAACTTTTTGCAATCTATTAATCTAATGTCCAGAATCTACTAGGAACTTAAATGGATTTACAAGAAAAAAACCCCATTAAAAAGTGGGCAAAAGGCATGAACAGACACTTTTCAAAAGAAGACATTCATGCAGCCAACAACCAACCTATGAAAAAACGTTCAACATCACTCATCATTAGAAATGCAAATCAAAACCACAATGAGATACTATCTCATGTCAGTCAGAATGGCGATTATTAAAAAGTCCAGAAACAACAGATGCTGGCAAAGTTGCAGAGAAAAAGGAACACTTTTACATTTTTTTATTTTTTAAAGTGAATGTATGTATGGCATTGAAGCCACCATCACATTGGGCCACAGGAAATGTATTCCCAGTCGTGATTATTGGGGCTCCCCTACGGGATCCTAGTGCATCAAAGAGGCCCTCAAGGTGCTGATCTATACTGGTTAGCTCTGCAGCCCTTTGTGTGCAGCCCACAAAGTCCCTTCAAGTTCCCATGGCTCTGCTGCTTCTGTGTCACAATTAGGGCACAGGCACCTTTGCTGGGGCTTGGAGTTGCAGGGTCCAAGGTTCAGCCTCTTTTGGTGCCCCCATGTGGTCATCACCTTTCAGGTTCCGCTACCTCACAGAAGATCTGCCACCCAACAGGACATATGTCTCCATTAATAGAAAGACCTAATCATTTTGTTCCTCTTTTCTAGTTTTGAGGAATATGCTCCTTCCTTCTCCCTTCTGGCCCTCAAGGACATGCCTCTTCTCTTCCTGCCCCTTCAGGTATACCAGTATAACAACTTAAAAAAATATAAGCTTTGATAAAACACAAGAGCTGTGTCAAATTTATATGTTGAAATCCCAGCCTCCAAGGGATGGTATTAAGAGATGGGATCTTTGGGAGGTGATTAGGTCTTGAGGTTGAAGCCCTCATAAATGGGATTAGTTTCTTTATAAAAGAGACCCAGCAAGCTCTCTCACTCCTTTCTGCCACATAAGAACACAAGGAGAAGACAGTCATCTATGAACTAGGAAGAGGGCCCTCACCAGACACTGAATCTATCAATGCCTTGATCTTGGACTTCCCAGCTTCCAGAACTATGAGAAACACACTTCTTTTGTTTATGAGCCACCCAGTGTATGGTGGTTTGTTATAGCAGCACAAACAGCCTATGACAACAAGAACAATCAGTGACTTTCAGTAGCTTCAGCTGTTTTCCCTGGCATATATCTCTGTAATGACTAAGGCACACTCAAGCCCTGGCTACTTGCTTGGTATTGAAATGGAATGGGATGAGTGAGGAGGGGGGAGGGGAATCAACACACATACATGTGTGTGCACAAATTAATATCTCAAAATCTTTTTCTGCCTCCTTGTAATAAGCAAAGGGATTCCCAGGAAAATCACCTTTGGGAAAAGCTACCATGACACTTGTTCATAGTGCAAGCAGCTAAACCATCATGTCAGGAGGGTAAGCTCAGGAAATTAGATTGAAAAGTGATGAAAATAAGCCATGGGCTCTTTGGTTCTGTAGAAAGAACATTAAATTGGGAGTCAGGAGACATGAGGTCAGACCTCAGTTTTCTCACTTACTTACTGTACGATCTACGAAAAATGACTTTAATCTCTCTGGGCCTCAGTTTCTCCAGATGCAAAATAAGGGATATTGATGGGTTGATCCTAAACATCCTCCAAGCCTCAATATTGACAACTGGTTTGGTAAAATAGGAAAGGATCTATCATTTTTACAAAGCATCTTAATGATCCACCAGATCGCTGTCTCTAGTATCTGACACATTTAAATTATATTTCTTGGTTACATAGGGGGTGGGGGTGGTGGTGGGGTGGGGGGCGGGGGGATAATGCTAACTGAGTGTATGAAGCCTCCAAGAGTGAACACAATGTGTAAGCATGGGTGTGTGACATTTCAAAACCAACTCATTCTGACTGCTTTGGGTCCTTCTTTCTTTGTTCATTTGGAGTTATTTTCACTGCATGCTCCCGCTTCGTGTTCAGCTGCACAGGAAGTTTTTGCAATTGGGTTAAGAAATTCTGGGAAACAGGAGTTTATGGGTAAATCCTTGTATGGCAGTGGACCAGCTCTTGCTTTGGGTGAGCTATGTGGAATTGGAATGAGCCAGTCAGCCCTGCACAGAGAGGTGAGGCATGGCTCTCGTTAAATCCATCTGCGGTGCCTGCTATTTTAGGGAAGCCACAGTGTGAGCAGTGGCAATATTTCACTCCACAAATGGGCCATAAGAAACATTAAAGATGTCATGTATTCTAAAGAAATTGACTTAATGATCCTACTCACTTAAGGAGGAATTGCTGGCAAAATTCATTCCTTAAATGAGTCCAAATGACAGATTCCTGCACAAACACAAATTCATGGTAACATGCATGAATTAACAAACATGCTAACATGGTAAGTCCTCAGATCTTGGAAACTGTGACTTTCAGCAAAATGACGTACAACAAAGCCAATTTTACCATAGGCTAATTAATATAAACTGGAGTTAAGTTCCTATGGCACATTTCTGGCTATAAAAGTATCACCGAAGTTCCAAAGACAGATATCAAAATGCTTTTAATATTAAGCATTGCAATAAATGTGAACTATACATACATTTAAGAAAGATTAATAAAAAGCTAATTATATACTAAGGGTTGAGGGTTGATATTATTCATCCCAGCAACTGGAGGAACCAGCCCTGGACAGGACGCCATCCCATGGGAGGGACACTCACACCACACCCACTCTCTCAGTCTGGGACCACATAAGCACACCACTTCACCTAATGTGCGTAGCTTTGGGATGTGCAAGGAAGGTAGAGTACCCAGAGAAAACCCACAGACATGGAGAAAGCATGCAAACTTCAGCCAGACTGTGGCACTGACCAGTAATCAACTTTTTTTCCTTATCAACATTGTAATGAAGCAATGTTATTTGAAGACCTGCTGCACAGCTTTTTTGCACCCTCAGATCTCCTCCATTGTGTCTATAAACCCCAACCCTAGGCCTCAGGGCACTCAGAGCTCATAGTGTGTTTTCTTTCCGAAGTGAAACCGTCACCACGATGCCCACTTTATAAGGAAGGAATAAAACACTCTGTGAAAGACTCAATGACAGCAGCCGAGAGCATCATTAACTTTGAGTTCAGTGAAAAGAAGGGAAACAAATTCAAAGTCATCAAAATGGAAGCTTTTAATTGTTCCCCACCATGAACTAAAATGAATGTTCAAAATTGAATAGTGGATCATATCTTTTGGATATGATCCTGGCATCCCCCCTATTTTCTGGCAGAGCACTTTAAATCATTGTTAGTGTGTAATCATCAACAAAAGCAAAGACCTTCACCCAAATTTGTAGAGAATGTCCATTTTTGCAGAAGTTTTCTATTTTCTTCAGCTTCTTACATTGCCAATTGCCAGAGACTATGGCACAGTGGAATATTCTTATTTATTCCTCACAATAGCTCCCCTAGGGAGGCTTGAGGGCTTGTTATTCCATCTCTATAATATGGGGGAGATTTAGCACCAGATATCAAGCCATATGTTATAATACATCATTAATTGAAACAGGAGAAGAACTCGGGCAGAGGTTTCATATTATTACATAATGTTGACACATTTTAAAAAGAAACTAAAAACTATTTGTTTTCTACAATAATGAAGTACTGGTTTGGTTATACACACATATAATGTATATATGTACTTCATATATATATATTTGTATTGGTTTGTTCTCATGCAGCTACGAAGAAATACTTCAGACTGGGTAATTTATAAAGAAAAGAGGTTTAATTGACTCAGTTCTGCATGGTTGGGGAGGCCTCAGGAAACTTAAAATCATGGCAGAAGGCACCTCTTCACAGGTTGGTAGGGGAGAGAATGAGTACAAGCAGGGGAAATGCCAGATGCTTATAAAACCATCAGATCTTTTGAGAGTCACTCACTACCATGAGAACAGCATGGGGGAAACTGCCCCCATAATTCAATTACCTCCACCTGGTCTCTCCCTTGACACATGGGGCTTATGGGGATTACAATTCAAGATGAGATTTGGGTGGGGACACAAAGCCTAACCATATCAATATTCATACATCATTTTCTTTAAATTGATACAACTAAAGTGACTGGATGTTTGATTTTACACTACATTTGCCATTTCATCACTTCCCAGGGGAACTCAAGTTATCTCAAAATATAGCACGATTTCCCCAATTAAGGTTTTTTTTTTTGGAAACAGGGTCTCAGTCTGTCACCCAGACTGGAGTTCAGTGGTACCATCATAGCTCACTGCAAGCTCAAACTCCTGGGCACATGCAATTGTCCCACTTCAGCCTCCCAAATAGCTGGCACTACAGGCTCATCCCATGGTGCCCAGCTAAAAATTTTTCTTTTCTTTTTTTTTTTTTTTTTTTTTTTTGTAGAGATGGGTCTCACTTTGTTGCCCAGGTTAGTCTCAAACTTCTGGCTTCAAACAATCTTCCCACCTCAGTCTCCCACAGCACAGGGATTACCTGTGTGAGCCACTGCACCAGGCCCCACTCCATTTCTTAAATGCGTTTCTTCATACTCTTAGATGGTAGGTTGGGAGAGAAGTAGTCTGTAGCCTCTTTCACTGTCACTAGTTGGGATAGACAACCAAAACACTTAAAGTCCTGGTGCTTTACTTAGAATGTATCATTATAGGTCCTGTTGTCTGTGGGTGAATTAATAAAGGATCTACTATCATGGCGGGGGCGGGGGTTTGCTTTATGATGAATGGTCTCACACAAATTCTATTTTTAGAATGTCGTGACCGACACTATTGTACACCAACAAACTACTGTTCCCATGCAAACTCAGGAGAGACTTGCCACCAACAGCTGGTGTCCTTCACAGCTGTTGACTTCCATACTGTTTTAAGACCTGTCATTCTCAGATAACTTAGACATTTCAGAGGCAGATATGTACTTCCTTCTGAGACTATGGCTTTTAAATCTTTGTTAGTGTAAAATGTCCTTCACAGACACAATCTTACATAGAACTCAAATATTAGAAACATGCTGAAGTGGAGGTACCCTAGGAGAAGCAGTGAAGAAAAAACACACAGGTTGCCTCCTGGTCCCACCTCATACCATCTTTAAGGCTCTCTCTCAGAAGGCTAGCCCTCTGCAGAACCCAATTTGAGGACTCCTGCTCTAGACTATCTGTAGAACAAGCCACATCACATACAATTGCCCATATTCTCTGAGACATATGATGGAAAAATGGTAGACTGCAGAATCTGCCTTTTAGCAAAAAGCATGCTGGTGTGTATTGGCACATCATCTAACAGGAATTCCCCTAGGACACACCAACCTGAGGGGAGAGCTGAGTTGCCTTATGATGGGACTGTCATACATACTGCTGGCTTCCCCAGTTTCTCAGGTGCTACTTCAATTCCCAAGTTGCTGCAGGGCTGCCCCAGCTGCTGCTATATTTCTCTGAGGACTTGGTGTCACTACCTAAAGAAGTCATGCATTGCTCTCCTAGTGAAGAACTTGCTTCACCATTGCTATAGATGCTGTTGTTGTTATATGTTGATGCTGATTTTCTACATGGTCTCTTTACTACTAGAACAGCTAAGGATCCTCTCATTATACAAGGAATTTCTTTTTCCTATTTTCTTTCCTTCTTCCATTCATTTAATCCTCAGAAAAAGAGAAAAGGCTTTGAGTTCTGTCTTATTCAAGTAGTGTTGAGCATATTTCTTGATAAGTAACAAATTCTTAGCAAATGTATATTCTCTGTAAATATATATTCTTCTAAGATATTCACTTTTGGAGACAAAAAGCACACACTTCAGAGTGAAACAGCCATCATTTCAAACCTGTGTACTGCTTCCTGCAGGTGGTATGATTTGGGGCAGTTACTTCACCTCTGAGCTTCCATTTCCTCGTTTTTAAAGCACGGTGGCAATACCTACCTCAGGGTGGTTGTAGAAAGAAATAATATGGTGTATGTGACTGGTGTGGCATGCAGTAAGTGCTCAAAAAAGGTAAGTTCCTTTCTTTTCCCCTTGAAGAATGAAGTGCTGTACTACTTGCAGGGGGTCAGTCTGGCTCTGCCCTTCAGGGAGTCCCTGTGAGCCAGAGGTTCCAGCCATTCCATAGGAGCCAGCTGGGGAAGCCTCTCCAAAGAGCAGGGTAGGACCCACGGATCTGGGTCCACCATACTGTTCTTTACTGACTAATGGGCTGTCCCTGGACACTTATCTCAAGGAGTTTCCAGCAATGTCAAGCAAAGAAAACAGGCCTTTGATAAGAATGATACAATGGATTTTGGAGACTTGGGGGGAAGAGTGGGAGAGGGGTGAGGGATAAAAGACAACAAATACAGTGCAGCGTATACTGCTCAGGTGATGGGTACACCAGGATCTCACAAATCACCACTAAAGAACTTACTTATGTAACCTAATACTGCCTGTACTGCAATACCTTATGAAAAAAGAAAAAGAAAACAGGCCTATGGTAAAGTTGCAAAAATAGAACAGGGAGAGGGGTAGTGTTAACAAAAACTATCAACTGTAGGAGTCATGTTAACATTGTTAACAAAATTGGTGTAGAAGCATGTTATTTGTCCTCAACCCAGCATCCATTTCTTCATCTTCTGGGATTATCGTTCTAACATACTTTGAAAAACCAGTTCTCCTTACTTTTGGCTATATCGTTTGATGGGGATTAACCCTATGCCTTGCTCCAGGGTAGAGCCTTGATTGGCTAAAGCCAACAACATGTTCAACCTTCTAGCTGCAACCGTTGGTTCAGAGATGGGCATATGACTCAATGAGAACCAGTGAAATATTTTTCTGGAGCTTAAGAGGAAAAACAGTTAAATTTCTGTGGAGCTACCATGAAAGTGTGCCTTCTTTTTGGATGGGGTAATATGAAGCTGTATGACATGAACTACTACCACAAGAGGAAAGTCTAGAGCTGCTAGGCCAAGGGGTGAAACATGAGGATAAAGAAAGGGAGCTAAGAAATTAAATTAGGTGGGAGGAGTGTGAGAGGATAAAGTCCATATTTAATGTCTTTGTACTGCTGGATCAAGCCTTATCTTAAGCCTGTATCCATCTGGACTATAAGATTAGGTAAAGCAGTCAGTTTGAAAACAGTTTTCCTGATATTGCTGCTTATTAACTGTGTAACACTTGGCAGGGCCTCAATTTCCTCATCTGAAAGAAAGGATTTAATAACATCCTTTTATAGTTGAAGTGATAAATAATGAGTTAATATATGTAAACCACCGTGCTCAATTAAATGACATTTTTAACATAAAAGTGGTTAGAAGTTCATATAGAAGTATCATCTAGAAGAGTGGTTCTCAATTGAAGCAATTTTGCCCCTCAGTGGACATTTGGCAAAGTCTGGAGACATTTTGGGTTGTTACAACTCAAGGCATTTAGTGGGTAGGGGCCAAGGATACTGCTCTACATCCTATGATGCACAATGCAACCTCCCATAACAAGGAATTATCCAGCCCCAAACATCACTAATGCCAAAGAAACCCAGATCTAGAGAACACATCTACTGATGTCAGTGAAGTGCTCCAGTTGAGGCTTCCATTATTTCTGCCAGAATACTATGGGGAAATGAAAAAAGGACACTGGCACGATGAGCAAGTACATAAGACGGTAACACCAAGGGACAAAACAAAGGGATTCCCTGGCTCTCTGCCAAGGCTATGAGCATTCTACCTGTGAATTTCAGAGTAAATGAAGGTTCTAAGAGCCCAGCTGAGGTAATGCATAGATTAGGGAGCTCTAGAAAGTGTGAGCTTGATTACCCAATTAGAACTGATCGCAGGATAGCAACAAGAGGATAAATACTGTCCAGGTGGGTATGGAGCAAGACATAATCTCAGAACAGCATGTTCCCTGCATCTTTAGGTATTATGAGGAGCAGCACAGTCAAAATGTTGAGAATTTGATACCACAAGTAGAACATCTTAATATCATTAACGATCTACTGACTTCCTGTAGGTAATATATTGTTTTATACTCAAACATTATACACATACATCTCTGTGCTGAGAGAATTTGCAAATTCTGGCATGGCGAGGAAATAGAACACTGCCTAGTTCAGTCTAACAGATATTCCTAGATAGAGAGCAACAAGGTGAGATGGTCCTATAAATCATAATCTGGCCCTTTGTAACAAGGATAATTATCATGAAGTTGCAGAATACTTCCAGATTTCAGCATTAAATGCTTCTTTTCTCACGTACCAGGTAGCTGGAGTGAATTCAGTGTTATGTACCCACCTCCTACACTTGGGGCAGAATTGCTTAAAGTAACCCAACTGCGAACCTCCACGGACCATCTATCTACATGGTGTCTGGGAGCCCCATCCACCTACAGTGAGAGGTGAGGACAAAGGCAAGGACAAGCTTTAACAGAAAGCTTCCGTAGCATTAATGCTGATGCTGTGTGACTTCTCTTCCCCTTTCACAGTAGGGGAGAAGCCGGATGGAGGAGCGTGTTCATGACATGGCCGGTTTAAAAACTATCCTTTCCTCTGTTCCTCTGCTGACTCAGTCAATTTCCCTAAAGGACATATAGATGTGTGTGAGTGTGCATGTGTATATGTATCTGGTGGCAGCTTTAATTATCACCGCTCATTACCTTTTTCCCTGTGCTCATTTTAATTGTCTCTGTGACTTTCCTTAGCAACTTATTTGAAAGCATTCCAGTAATTCTTTTCCCATTTCTGTTGGTGAAATCTTTATAATAGTCTTTTTATTATCCGTGTTTTAATGGTTTTAGTTTGCTACCTGCCAAGATTGCTGTAGTCTTAATCATTACATTTTAAAAGACAGCTGTTAGAAGTTTCTTTAACTGCACAAATAACATGTTAACAGCTGAACTAAAAATGAAATAAACTTTTAATTTCCCATGCTTTGCTAATAAAAATAGTAATAATAACAATAATAGCTACCATTTGAAAGCTTACTATGGGCAAAGCACTGCACTATGCCCTATATATTTTTCATTTAAGTGTCACATCCTTATGAGATAGGGAGTATAGTGTTATCTACATCTATTTTGTAGAAAAATAAACTGAGTCATAGGTCAAGTACCTTGCTCAGGGTCATGTCAAGTGGTGCTCTGTCAAACAAGGAGTGGCCACATGTCCCACCCAGAACTAGACTGATGTCAGAGTTGGAACTCAAAGACTGTATTCTGATTCTTTCCTCTGTGGTTTCTTCCAATATTTATCATTATGCATACAATAGTTTTTATATTATTGCAAATACAGCATCGACAGACTTTATTGCTTATTCTTTCCACTTAACAGAATACTGAAAACACTTTCCAAGATGCTATCTCATATTCCCAATGTGGATCATTTTTGATCCACATTGATAGCATATTCTTGATATACTATCAAGAATAGTGTATTCTTCCATAAAATTGATAGATCGTACTTGAATTGAGCATACTTGTGTTATATGATATTTATGTGGTTTTTGGTTTTTCATCTTTTAAAAGAATCTAGTCATGTATATAGCATTTTCTAATTTTGATTTATTTTTTGAGATAAATTCCTAGGAGTGAAGTTACTGAGTCAAAGGGTAAGTGTCTTTTTAAATAATTCTTCAAATGTGTTCTTCAAATGTTTTCCAAAATTATGCTTGGAGTGAGCATTTCTTGAGATACTAGGTTTATCATGATTCTATTAATATAGAAATTTATCATTATTTTAAGTTTGTATTATTTCAGTAGTCATTTTCTGTTAATAGGCAATTGTTTAAGAATTATTGAGGTTGGACAATTCATTAATATATGGTTATTTTCAATTTCTATAAACATTCTATATCATATAGACAAAGAATCAACAAACTATGGCTCATGGGCCAAACCTGGTCTATTGCCTGTTTTTATAGTTTTATTGGAATACTTCCACACTCATTCATTTATGTATTATGTATGGCTGCTTTTGCATACTACAACCACAGAGTTGAATAGTTTCAACAGAGATTGTATGGCCCACAGGTAGAAGTGACTATATAATTTACAGGGTCCAGTAAAAATTGAGAATGTGGAGCCCCTTGTTAAACAATTAATGGGAATGTTAAGACAGTGACAGCAGAAGTTTCAACCAAGTGCAGGTAACAAGTCCATGAAACTGTCCCTGCCCACAAGGCCTAAAACATTTATAATTTGGCCCTTTACCAAAAAAGTTTGCTAACCCTTGGTATATATGTTTAATCCTAAATCTGTTATAATAGGTTCAAATGTCTTCTTTTTCTATGATTTCCCTTTTTAATTATGACATTCATGTCAAAACACTGATTTTTTTTTAAGCAGGGCAGTGATTTTTTTTAATGTGATAGAATCTTCAGATAATTTCTTTCAATAATTACTACCTCAAAGATCAGACAGTTGAATCTATTCTCTTCTGGTTATTTTTAATGATATTACTTCATATATTTAATTCTATTCACAGCATTAATTTTAATGTATAGTATTAAACATGGGTTATACGCTAATCTACTTTAAAATTGAGAATCACAACTCCAATTGTAAATATTTTCCTTATTCATTGCTTAGTAATGCCTACCTTACCATACATGAATTTCTTATATATAACTGGTCAATTTTTGAGCTTTTCAACATATTTCATTAATTTCTGATTCTATTTTTTGTTCTTTAGCTCAGTGGTTCTCAACCAGGGGTAAATTTTCTACCAAGAGCACATTTTTGGTCATCACAACTGAAGGAGAAGGTGCTACAGGCATTTGATGAGTAGAGTAGAGGCCACTGATGCTACTGAACATGTTACAATGCACAGGACAGCATCCACAATAAAAAATTATCTGGCCCCAAATATCAATGGTGCTGATGTTGACAAATCCTACTTCAGCTTTGTATTTTATTTACTGATGTAAGTACCTTAAGTGCCATTAAGGGCAGATTCTCTTCCTAATTTCTGTTTCTTTTCAAAAAATTTATTTGCTTTTGTAAAATTCATTTTGTAAATGAATTTTAAAACAGCTCTGTCAAATGGGATCACATTAATCTAAAAAGCTTCTGAGTAGCAAAGGAATCAATCAGCAAAATGAAGAGACAACATTCAGAACGGGAGAAAATATTTACAAACTACCCATCTGACAAAGTACAAATAACCAGTCTATCTAAGAATTCAAACAACTCAAGAGGAAAACAAACAAACAAAAAAATCCAATCAAAATGGGCAAAAGATCAGAGTTGACATTTCTCAAAAGAAGACATACAAATGGCCAACGGTTACATTTTAAAAGTGTTCAGCATCAATAATCATCAAAGAAATGCAAATTAAAACTCCAATAAGATATCATCTCATACCAGTTAAAGTGGCTTTTACCCAAAAAATAGGCAAAATGAATGTTGGCAAGGACATGAAGACAGACAGTAACAAATACTGGCAAGGATGTAGAGAAAATGAAAAACCTTCATACACTGTTGGTGGGAATGTAAATTAGTACAACCACTACAGAAAACAGTATGGAGGTTCCTCAAAAAAACTAAAATTGGAACTATCATATGATCCCGTAATCCCACTGCTGATATATATCAAAAAGGAAAGAAATCAGTATATCAAAGAGATAGCTACACTCCTATGTTCATTGCAGCACTATTCACAATAGCCAAGATTTGGAAGCAACCTAGGTGTCCATCAGCAGATGAATGGATAAAGGAAATGTGGCATATATACACAATGGTATATTATTTAGCAATAAAAAAAATAAAATCCTGTGATTTTCAACAACATGCATGGAACTGGAGGACATTATGTGAAGTGAAATAAGCCAGGCACAGAAAGACAAATATCACATGTTCTCACTCATACGTGAGAGGTAAAAAAAAATGAAAAATGAGCTAATGGAGATAGAGAGTACAATGATGGTTACCAGAGGCTGGGAAGGGAAGCAGGGAGGAGAAGATAAAGTGAGGATGATTAAATGAGTACATAAGTACAGTTAGATAGAATGAATGAGGCCAGCTGGGCGCGGTGGCTCACACCTGTAATCCCTGCACTTAGGCAGGGGGATCACGAGGTCAGGAGTTAGAGACCAGCCTGACCAACATGGTGAAACCCCGACTCTACTAAAAATAAAAAATTTGGCTGGGCATGGTGGCGCACGCCCTGTGATCTCAGCTACTCAGGAGGCTGAGGCAGGAGAATCCCTTGAACCCGGGAGGCGGAGGTTGCAGTGAGCCGAGATGGTGCCACTGCACTCCAGCCTGGGAGACACAGCAAAACTCTGTCTCCAAAAAAAAATAAAAAAAGACCTAGTATCAGGTAGCACAATGTTGCTGCCTGCCTACGTTGCTAGGTAAAGCTTTCTGAACCTCTCCTGGTTCTGAGCACTGGACAATTCATAAATCACTGTTTCTTTGTTCAGATAAACTCTGCTAAATTTAGTTTGACTAAAGTTTTTCTTTTAACATTTCAAATAACTTTACTATTACAAACATAAAATTTCAGGAGAGTTTATCTGGTCCCTTTAGCTTTTTTCTTTTCTTTCTTTTTTTTTTTTTTTAATTTCATGGAGTCTTACTCTGTCACCCAGGCTGGAGTGCAGTGGCGTGATCTCAGCTGACTACAACGTCTGCCTCCCAGGTTCAGGTGATTCTCCTGCCTCAGCCTCCTGAGTAGCTGGGATTACAAGTGCCTGCCACCATGCCTGGCTAAGTTTTGTATTTTTAGTAGAGACAAGATTTCACCATGTTGGCCAGGCTGGTCTTGAACTCCTGACCTCAAGTGATCTGCCTGCCTCGGCCTCCCCAAGTGCTGGGATTACAGGCATGATGCACCGCACCTGACCCCTCCTTTAGCTTTTCAAGCTATAAAGTAATATAGTTTGTTGATTCTTTCCAATGTTTATTTTTGTTTAGTTTTGAGAGCATAGGGTTGGACTTCCAAACCAATTTAATGAATAATGCTGATAGAATTAAAGGTGTGAATTATTTCTCAATTGAGCAAAATGTTCTTTAGAATATTTATCATTTAAGTTAAAAATAACAACTTTTAATGACTTTCTGAATGAAAATTTAAGCTCCAGATTTTTGTCTTAAAATACTTACTACTGGCGTTTTGATTTTATTACACAGTACATTCACGTGTGTGTATATGTGTGTGTGTGCATGTGTATATATCTACACACCTATCACATATATAATAAACCTCTAAAAATTAATGTGACATGACAAAGTGCTGGGTATGTGCTAGCTAGTTAGAATATGTTGGCAGTGCCATGATGTACTTAAGCTTATTGAAGTATAAGGAGCTATTCAAGGATATAAGGTACCTCTGTAGCAGGTCAAATTGTAATTTTCCCCAGCATTCCTGCAGAATGTGATTGATTCTTGAATGGACTTGAACAAAAATATTTCTGACCTAATCCTCAGTCCTTCAGTCCTTCAGTGATAGCAATCCCTAAGCTCCCTTTTTTATTACCAGCATCTGTCTTGTCACCTCATCCATCTCTTTATACAGATTTTTCTGGAGGCCTTACAGAGCAGTCAAGAGTGACTGAATTGCACATTCTCTTCAGAGATCAGAACTGTAGCCAAACACTTCTCTGTAAACTGACCCATGTTCCTGGTTCTTTCTATGAATATAAGGAGTCATAGAAGTTTGCATTAAGGGATACAATACTGATGAAAGAAATTATTTAATTCAATTATAACCTTTATTTCTTTCAGTATTTAACCTTATGTGAATTACATTAAGACAATGATACATTTGCATTTGAGGGGCTTATGATTAAACTAAGTTTCCCTCTGTTTTTTTCACAGTGTATTTTCCTTGTTAAGTACCAAACATCAGCTTTAGAATCTGATTGGCAATATGGAGGAATGGAAGGATCATAAAAATGAATTGCAAACCAAATGGTATAAAGTAGGAATTGATAAAGAGTATCCTATAAACAAAATGCTAAGATATATCCTAAAGACTCAGGTGGTCATAGGTTTTCCCATGATTGCTCCAGATAATGGACATGAAAGCACACAGTAACCATGTTTAAACCATACCTTTTAATTTATAAAGTTGACATTGAAAAATGACAGAAAGGTAATGTATTTACAAATTTTATATGCTTCTGCACTTTTACTATTTTAATAACCTTAGAATTTCCACATAATATGAAATTTAAACAGATTCCTTATTTTGAATTTAATATAGTGCTTTTAAAAAGTATTTTTAAGGATTTTATCTCTTTCTGGTTGCTTACTTAAACTATGTTATGCATTTTTGGATATTCAAATAAGCTCTTGATTTAGTAACTAACATGGATCAAATGTTTAAAGGTTTGAAGAGGTATAAAAATGGCTAAACTATTATAAAAATTCTGATAAACTGTAGAAGAATGGTAAGTTTGCATTAAAGGAATGATCGAGTAGACTATTAGATAGGAATAAAACCACCATGAATTTGAACCCTAGTTTCACCATTAGCTATAATCATCTTGGGCAATTTAATTCACCTCTCTATATTGCAGTGTCCTCATCTGTAAAGTGAAGGCAATAATAGCATTCACTTCATAGGCTTGTTACAAGGACTAAAACAAGTTAATTTATGTAAACTATTTATGACTACAACAGGCAGAGAACAGTGAAGAATGAGAATGACTGGCATAAAAGAAATAAAATACTCTAGGGCAAACTGAGTGGCACTTCTAGATAAAAATACTCAACAAGCTATTACCAGTGAGGAAGAGAATTACACAGGAAACGTGTTACAACTGACAACATCATCATACACTTGTACTCAATCCTCACGTTACAGATATCTCTCATTCCTTTCAATATAGATATGTCTACCATATTCAAAGAAGACAACTTCCTATATAGTTACACAATGATCCTTGATAACTCAGAGAATATACATCTGACAATACCTGTTTATATAATCTGAAACCTATAGTTATATACTGACAACAGTGCATTTTTCTCTCAAGAGTTTGATCACTGGACTCATTATTGTACTAAGAAGAATGATGTTGGAAATTACATTTACCATAAGATAAAATATGCAAATATTTTGACAATTATTATTATGATCTTCTGGAATCATGTATGTTACTCTGTATATAGCTGGCATTTTGATTTACTACTATCAGATTTTAGGGAAGAGAAGGCATCTCAAAAGCAACGGAATGTGAGTGAAGAGCAAAAGATGTGGCCGGGAGTGGTGGCCCATGACTGTAATCCCAGCACTTTGGGAGTCTGAGGCAGGCAGATCACTGGAGGTCAGGAGTTTGAGAACAGCCTGGCCAACATGGTGAAACCCCATCTCTACTAAAAATACAAAAATTGGCCAGGCATGGTGGCACATGTCTGTAATCCCAGCTACTAGGGAGGCTGAGGCAGGAGAATCACTTGAACCCAGGAAGCAGAGGTTACAGTGAGCCGAGATCACACCACTGTACTCCAGCCTGGGTGACAGAGCGAGACTCCATCTCAGAAACAAACAAACAAACAATAGCCAAGATTTGGAAGCAACCTAGGTGTCTAAGAAAAAAAAAATCTCACAGCAAAAAAAGCAAAGGATGTAGTGTTAGAACAACTTGAATTTGAGCCCTAACTTTACCATTAGCTGTATAATCTTGGCCAATTTAATTCACCTCTCTGTATTTGTTTCCTTGTATGTAAAGTGGAGGTGGTAATAATATCCATTTCATAGGCTTGTTACAAGGATTAAAACAATTTATGTAAAATACTTAGCTCGGTGCCTGATATATAGTATTAGCTGTTAGCTATTATCATTTATAAATGAAAGATCCATTTTTAGTTTGGATTCTAAGAAGAAAGTTACTCCTTCTGTCCAAAAGACTAAAATCTTTTCATCATATGAGCCCATTAATAATAAATCTCCCAGAAGAACTGAAGTCACAGAGAGGGACAGAGTTGCTTTAAGAACATGCCAGGCCTAGTGTTAAGGAGGTGGGCCTAACTAGTAGAATTCAGATTTGTTTCCCAGAATGGACACAACTGAGTAATTAGCTCATTTATAGAATATTTTCTGGCCAAAGACCACCAGGAAACCCCTAGAGTTGAACCAAGTTTGGTTTGCTTGTTGCAGCAAGGGATGATGCACACCATGGGACTGTGTGGTCTTAGATATCTCAGTCACTCATTAGATAAGACAGGTAAATGTTTCATATTTTTTGATTTGGACAATGTTTTCTCTGTTTTCAGATGTGAATTCAGAGTAGTCTTGTTTTTGTCTTGATCCATCATGGTCATAGAATAGCCTTGTTTGATGATGGTGTGTATGAAATGTTTTGTGTTCATCTGAGAACACCAAGGCCCGGTTGATAGTACTAGGACAGCTCCTGGGTGGCAGGGGCTGCCTTTTTTTCTTACCATCTTAATGAATCTTATTTCTGACTGAGTAGGTGACCCCTTGTGAAATCCCCTATCTTTTCTGAACATTAATTTCAGCATCAACATCTTAATTCTGAACTTAACCAGGGGCAATAAAACCATAATTATAGGCCGGGGGCGGTGGCTTACGCCTGTAATCCCAGCACTTTGGGAGGTCGAGGCAGGTGGATCGTGAGGTCAGGAGATCGAGACCATCCTGGCTAACATGGTGAAACCCCGTTTCTACTAAAAATACAAAAAATTAGCCAGGCGTGGTGGCAGGCGCCTGTAGTCCCAGCTACTCGGGATGCTGAGGCAGGAGAATGGTGTGAACCCAGGAGGCGGAGCTTGCAGTGAGCTGAGATCGCGCCACTGCACTCCAGCCTGGGCGACAGAGCGAGACTCCGTCTCAAAAACAAAACAAAACAAAACAAAACTGTAATTATAATAATAGGATGAATATAATATTAAGTTCAATTACAATTAAAAATGGAAGGATACCCACTTCCATGGTAAAGATAAAGCAGTAGATTGCATTCTTCTTCTAAATTCTAGATTTTAAATGCCTCTCCATTTTTATCAACAAAATTGATCAACATAAATGTGTCAAATCCATCATATTCATATGACGCAAGGCCAAATTTTGAAGAAAAATTGATTGGAGACTATGAATCCTCTTATAGTCTGTCATAAAGAATGAGAGAAAGAAAAAAAAGTCAAGTACCCCCTGCAGAAGACTCAAGAGAGTGGGTGGGAATGGCGAGGCACAGACTTGTCTTCCCAGTCTGTTGTTTAACCACTGCTTACTTCCCATACAAAGCCCCACAGAGCCCAGGGAACCCCTGAGCCCCTGGATTAAGGATTCCTAAGTTTCTGGTGTTATTATCTTCTCATACTCCTGTCTTATACCAGATGATCTCTGCAGTACTCTAAAGAAATAGCAGGGGCTACATTAATTTCTTCAAGGTATATGCAATTCATACCTCACTAAGCCAGAAGTACTTTTGCTATGACAAAATGCCACTGTATATTGTACTGCAGCACTAGCCACTATTTGTAGTGTTAGCAAAGCATGGTTGATGACCACAACTTAAAGCAATTATCAGGACATAAAAAAATGTATGTAACATTTGGTTTTATAATTCTAAAAATAATCCTACATCTGAAGGAAACTTACAAGGTTATGAAAGTAATCCATATACTTCCAGGAAGTATGGCTCATTTTTCACATCTAAGACAACATTATTCCTGGGCTTATACCTGGGTTAACAGTCACTGCACAATCAAACTGTCTGCAGGAATCAATGTCAATCTTGAAGACAGAGCAAATGATTAGATCAGCGAGGCTGTGACCCAGAACATAGCTGATGTGCTATTTTTAAAACTTCTCGCTAAAAAATTATCCACATTTGCAGTAATTCGTTAGAGTGACTACCTCAGTAGCTGAAAAATGAACAAACCCGGAATAGTCAGATTCCTTGACATTGATTTGATGTGGAAATCAAATAGTTTGGCTAGCAAGAAAACTGCAGTGTCAATTACTCAAACTATGTTGCAGGTTTTACCCTATTCATCTTCATGGTTTAAAACAAACATCAGTCCCTCATGTGATTGGTAGATCCTATCTTTCTAATGAATAAACAATAAAAAGGGGGCTTTATAAAGGGAAGAAGCACAGATTGTTGGGCTGTGGAGGTGCTGATGGACTGAAGGGGCCAAGAAATCCAAGAAACGACCCTAAAGGGAGTGATAGATAAGGAGCAAAGGTGTTTCATTCATTCCACAATTAAGGTTGGTCCTGTCTATAACACAGCTACGCTGAGTTACCCACACATATCTGCCAGACGGGAAAAATTCACAGAGGAAAAAGTCCACCTCTTTGAATCCACAGACCTCATGCTTAGTTTATTCATTTCATTTCAGAGAAAGCTTTGTGGAGAAACTCACATAGTTTCTGTAAATGGAACACAGAACACACACATTCTCAAATATTTATGCTTGTTACAATCACCTGGAGGGCTTGTTAAAACACGAATTACTGGGCCCTACCCCACAGACTTTCTGATTCATTACATTTGAAGTGGGTGTTGAGAATTTGCTTTTCTAAAAAGTTCCCAGGTAATGATGATGCTACTGGTCTGGGACCCCACTTTCAGAAAAACAATTTTTTAAAATGAATTCTTTCAGTTTATTAGTTTCTGAGCTGAGGGTAGGCCTCCTTTCTTGCCCAATACACTCCACATGTGCTCAATAAATGACAGTAAGTGAATGAGGAAACCAAGGCACAGACAGACTAAATGGCATGCCCAAGTTAGATCCTTCTTTTCTCTTAGCCTGGCCAAAGGTGGGAAGCACTAAAGGATGTGGAAGTGGCCAGTATGATCTGTCTCTGTAAATGTGAAAGGTACCAAATTACAATGAATTAGAATTTTTGTGGGTCTTTTAGAAAACCACTCCAAAGGCTCCATTATAAATGTTCTATTTCCTTTTTCTGACTGCTGTGAAAAAGAAAACTTAGTGGAATTACCTTTACAAATGTATTAATTTATTCTACCCCAAGGATATTATATTCAGTGATTTGGCAAAACTAATCTGAACTAATAACAGGCACATTTGCTGAGACTAAGCAAATTTTCCAGTAGAGAGCTACTTAGCCACTTGGAACAAATGAAGGTTGAAGTATAAAGATTAAAGAATAGCTGTAATGTCCAAAAGAGGTAAGAGTGTTTACAGAGACATCAGCACAAATTGACGAAAATGCAAAGCCTAGGATGTTAACAAAGAAAACTATCACCAAGGAGTGAAAAATTCACCAGGAAATTTTCCATCACTGACAAATGCTCAGGTTCAAGAGACATTCTCCATGTGTGTCTCCAGAGGACTTTAATCACTGTGTGACAACCACACCTTCTCAGAGCCTTTGCTTCTATCCAGTGGAGTCAGGCAAACAGTGACTATGCATTCACTTCTACACTGTCCCCTTAAAAATCCTAAATCTATTCCATAGATGAAAATTGAAATCTCACAGCCTACTGGAACCAATATAAATGAGTAAAATTGGGAGAATATAAGGTAACAGGTAGTAGTGAGACTTGGCTAACCAAAAAATATATGCTCCCTTTTAAGGGGGAGCTGCACCCCAGCTTTAGGATATTGTTGCTCTATGGGATGTGATCCCAGTGTTACCAGATCTTTCAACTTTGCAGGAGGCATCAGAATTTGGATTTCCTGATAAGCACTGTGTGACCCAAATGAAATACGTTTGTAGGTAGAATAGGACCTCTAGCTTTTCATTTGAGACCTTTCCTTAGGCTCTTGGAAGTCCTTCTGTGGTCCTGTTTACCTAGTTCTCTTATAATCTCCTTCTGGATATATATTCTGTCCTCTAGTCCCCCCAGAAGCACTCTTTCTTTTTTCAAAATCTCTCAGAGGCACAGAATTCTTCTTCCTCTAATTCTTGAAGGACCACACAGGTAGATAATGGTTCTATCAGGAATTGTCTTTGACTACTTCATATGCCAAAATACAGTCCATTAGTGATGGGTTTGTTTTCCACGGTGAATGGGGGTGGCCCAGTATCATACAGCCTCGTAAGGGGAGCTGACTTAAGGAGAAGACACTTAGGTTCTATCTGCCCTAGCCAACTTACTTCTCACACCCCCACTTCATCTCAGGCCCCTGGAACGACTTTCAAAAAAATGCATCTGGGCTCTAAGAAAAAAGAATACCCAATTGTTCAGAGCATGAAGACTGCCAATCCCCATTCGGGCTTTGAAAAAAACTGAACTAAGGAATAAAGGGTTTGAAGACAGCTTTGCTTCGTTCTTCCAATTTAGGTACAACTAAAGTGTAGAGGGCAATAATAATACTGCAGGTAATCTGGTCTAATGCTTCTAGTTCCTTTCCTGTCTCATTTTCCTTCCTTTTTTAAGAGGAATTAGTGAGGGGAAAGAAAAAGTTTGAATATTTAGATTTTTTTTAAAGGTTTATCTACTCATTCCCTGAGCCAATATTTATTCAGTATTTTGCATTTGTCAGATATGGAGTTTATAGTCTGTGAAAGATATATACACACAATAAAAAAGTAGGCAAATAAAAATTAAGATAATTATAAATTATAAAAGGTACAATCTGGAAAATAGGATAATGCAAATCACAGAGGAAAAATATCTTAGTACTTATTGCATGTTTATATTCCAAACCTAGGGTGGAAAGGGGTAGGTGATGTCCCTTTTTGAAGGATTTCAGTGCCAGGGGTTATATTCCCTATAAGTCCTGGCTTGGCAATGGAGGGGTTTCTCTGGTGGTCCACTCTATGCCATTAGAAAGGATGTCAAGGTCCTGGTGGTGCTTGAAATCTCTTTGGCCCTGGTGCAGCTTGGTCCTTGAAGCAGCTCTGAGTTCTGGAGGAATGAGTACTTTCAGGTATGGATAGTAGTTACAGGGAAAATATAATTAGCTCACATATGGGTAGACATTCAACAGATGAACAGGAAAACCTACCTAGGTGTTGTAGTTGGGAGCTGAATCAATTTTTCATGTCCAACCCTTTTCAAGAAGAGACTCTGCTGGTAAGTGAGCCAAGTTTAAACCAATCCTGTCCTCCATCCCCACCTCTGCCCCCTTGCTGTGGATCAAGAGAGGGTTGGGCAATGTGCCCACAACTCAAAAGCACAGAACAGAAAAGGCACCTAAACAGCAAGCAGAGAGCTCAGACTCTGGGAGAAAGCTCAGGCTGCAGAGTAGAACAAATGGAGTCTAGGGTTAATAGATCAAAACAGCAGGCATTTTACTATGCATTTTCAGATATAGTCCTACAGCATAATCTGTACTCAAAGGAGAACTTCCAGAAAGTTAACCATCAGGTTGAGAGTATGAACCTGGAAATCACATGTGTATTGTGTATGTCACAAGACTTGGTCCTGAATATCTTCCTGTCCTGAGTATGAGTATGGATTCAAACATTCACAGATAATTGTTGTATTTACAAAGTCCTAAGTTTAAAAATGCCTCCCGAAATCATTACAGGTCAATAGTTTTAAAATCTTTTTCAATCCCATCATTTTTGAGAAATGAGCTAGTTCCCCTAAATTCTGTATTCACTAAGACTTTAACAATTCTCCCATTTGCCAGAATCTTTGGGGCACTGTGATGGTATAATTTGTGGGCACACTCTCCCCACCCTCATGACTGTCTTACCCTCTTCCCACCATCAGTTGACAGTCTCTCTGAGGAGATATAGATCATATCCTTCTTCCCAGTTATAGGAAAGATTATGATAACTAAGCTGACTAAAACTAAGTAAGCAGCACCTCTTTGCTTTAGTAAAACTCATGTTTGTCTGAACCTGTGCTATTTTACACAAGCCTGTAAGTACAGGACACTCATAGACCATTTACAGGAGAGTTCAAATATGATATCACTTCAGTGCCTGGCATACGGCCCAGCATAAAGAAAAGTTTCAATAAGTAGGTATTTAATAAATGTTTGTTACATAAAATCTGATTGAACAGTTTTAAGGTTGCAGGCTAGTCTATGACATGACAGAGCTCTTAAGTGGTTATATTTGCCATACCTAAAGGAAATTTGTCAATGTAAACTTTATGAACATCAAAAAAAGGTGAACATACAAAACAAAATGTTTAAATACATATGATGTCCCCAAATAACAACGACTTTCAGATGAACATCTCATACCTACTATTTATTTTCCTGTAGATAGCAATGCATTACTTATTCATGATTTATGTCTTCTTAGAAACATCCAATTTCTGGCATTGACAAGGCCCCTTCTAGGTGAAGAGATTTTTCAAAAACATCATATGAGCTTCTCTAAAATAGTTTTTCTCAAAAAATAAGATCCACCTGCCAACAGCATTTAGCATCAGGTGGGGCAATTATTTAAAATTTAAATTTCTAATCAACCGCTTTTCCTGAATCTGGTCTTTGAGAGGAGAATCAGGAATCTACATTTTTTAACTCTCCTAGTGATTCTCATGCATACTGAAGTTTTAAAACCACTGCTCTAATGCCTTCAGGGTAGAGTAAGATACCTGCCAAAAGAAATAAAAGCATGCATTGATCTTATGAAGCCCCCTAATAGATACATAAGGATTTTGTGAGCAGTAATGACTCCATTCTTTCTTCTAATAGGGACTTAAAACTTTGAGACATGAGTACCTTAAAGGGTACAAAAATAAAATCCACATGCAACTATAGAATGAGTTGGTTACCACATTTCTCCTCCCCATTTCCCTCCCCCTCCCCGTCCACACCATATACACAAACCTTCTCTCCAAAGATAGAACCTAAACTTCTTTCAGGGACCCTAGTAAAATTGAGTCTTACTCACTTTAATTTGTGGTAGACTAGACTGGACTGGGGTGAGCATCTCATATACCTAAATGTTCTCAGTTCTTAAAAAGTTGAAAGTTGAATTTGACTGGCAGGTCTTTTGGGATCTCATTCATAGTAGCCCAGTAAGAAAATACCAACACCTTAGAGATACTAGAGAAGCTTAGAAATCCATTCAGTACTCCCAGAGCCCTCAAGACCCAGTTTGGAGTGGGGTTGGTCTCCAGGGAAGTGCACACAGTAGCCAAGCCCTAACAGAAGAGCCCAACCGTGGCTTTGCTTTCTCAATATACGGAAACAGCAGCTGCAGAATGCTCATCAATATGGCTGGCTGGAACTTAAAATCAGAGCTAATCATACTCAGCATCTTCACCTAAACATCAGCAAAGCCTAGGCATTCAGGTGGAGAGGATCCAGGTGGGAAGGTCAAAGCCAGAGATGATTGGGTTTAGTGCTGGTCTAGAATGTGAATTGCCTTTTCTTTGCCATCTCCAGTACAATATGATTTTCATGCTTATCTTGAAACTCCTGATTTCCCTTATTCATAGTGTGACATAAAGTCCTCTAGGAAATAGAGGTTGGGGCAGGTGAGCCCTACAAATCTCCAATGGGCTTGAGCTGGTTGCTACTACCCCTTTCACACCACTCTACCTCTTGAAAACAAATAACAAAAAATCTTGCATTTATATTGGGTTATGAGACCAAGCTTAGGTTAACTCAGTAAACTGCAACACTAAAAGATAGGGAATCCTTTTATACTGGTATAATTCTGAAGACTAATGGGAAATGAAGAGAAACTTGCGTTACAGGGGAAGCAATCTTAGTACATCCACACAAAGTTTCCACTGATATTTATCTTTACAGACCACTTAATCAGGCCAGTAATAAGAAAAACAAAGACATAACTCTTTCTCAAATTCCTTTCCCTATTCTGATCCTACATGGAAAACACATTCTCATTTCCAAGTGGTAGAGAATATTTGCTTTCAGGAAAAAAGAGAAAAAAAATTTGCAAATCACATTCTGAATGCCATAAAATTTGTCTTTTAATTTTAGAGTAAAAATAACTTCTGAAGTTATATATCTGTCTATATATATAGATAGATATATAACATATCTATATAATGTGTATATAGATATATAATGTATCTAATGTGTATATAGACATATATATACACATCACACATAGATATATGTGTTTGCACAGATGTCCATTTTTTTCCTCCCAATTTCTACTAGATCCACATAAATTTTATAAGTCCCATTGCCTTATTTCATAGGATCATTATGCTTGAATCTGGAAGAAACCTTAAGTGTTCAATATGTACATTTTACAGATGAGCAAAATGAAGTCTAGAAGCTTCAAAGTGATTTCTTCAAGGCCATATGGCTACAAGTTTACACAAGAATGAAGATGAAAATCCAAATTCCCTGATTCCTGGCCCAGCACTGTTTCCAAAGGACCATAAAGTCTTTTTCCCCCCCTAAGGTCTCTGCTTAAATCCTATATAGCTTGGTTTAAAGAGCATAAAAGTTATGCTTTAAAAGTAATGGCAAAAACAGCAATTACTTTTGCACCAATCTAATACTTTTATTGCTCCATCTTGCTCCATCTGTAACATAGCCTGGTTATAGAAGACATACCAATAATGTGAAAGAATACTGTGTCTGAAGAAAAACTGCCTCACTGCATTTAGAGGTGGCACTGCCCCCAAATCATTTAGTAATGACAGAGTTGATACTGTTTAAAACATGTATCTGCAAGAGGTTTGTAAAAAATCGATGATTTGAGGTCTTGGGATTATTTGATATTTCTTATAGCTCTCAGCAACTTCCATTCAATTCTGTGCAATAGGAGTTTATTGAGCATTACTGCAGAGGCAGCTAGTGCCCTGCCCTAGTCCCTTGGTACTCACCATTTTCTTACAAGAGCGAATCTGTGCCTGAGGGTTTTCTGAGATTCAGAAGTACACTGACTATATGCAAGGCTGGCCAAAGTACCCAAAATTCAATGCCTCTGGGAATAAACCTCAAACAACAATGTAGCTACCATATGACAGATATTCCAGCTTTCTTGCCCCTCAGCTGGGAGAATGCTGAGGCATATTCTGGCAGCCTTCTAGAAATCCCTAGCATGCACAGAGCCCCATTTCTCCACAATGAGAGGTGCTCTTTAATGCACCCTGTATCAGCTTCATTTCTTTTCCATTTCTGTGCTCTCTATAGTACTTTCTGGGATTACCACCCAGATAAACTACTTGCATTCAAATCCTCATTTTACGGTTGGCTTCTGGAGGAATCCAGTCTAAGACAAGCATATGCTTTGTGCACATAACTGTTCAATAGCAAGCCTTGAGGGATATGAAGATGGAAATGATATTACCCCAGCCCTCAAAAGGTTGAGGCCAGGGAGGGATAACTAGACTTCTAAATATGCAACCACATAGGTAAGACAAGAGAAGACAAAATATTTTTGGAGGATAAGGGATGTATGTGATAAAAATATTTTCACAAATAAAGGATTCCCACAGTGAACAGAATTTGCCAATAAGAACTTACCATGAAATTCTCTATAGCATGACATTCTCAAATACGCTAAGCAGTCACATTATGCACATTAAACAACCAACCAAGGTCTTAATTTTCCTTGGAAGCATGTGTCACAGAATTTGTGATTGCTTATACAATGCAAATTTGCATGACCGATCCAAAGGGAAAAATTTCATGCAACTTCTTGTTTTTTAGTGGCAAGAGTGGTCACATAAACCTCCAAACTGGTTGGACCTGATTAATTCCCTATTTTGCATCTTGTGTTTGAAGAGAGTCAAAACTATCTGTTTTTTCTTTTCATTCAGTTATGTCAAAGTATGCTAATTTCTGTGGGAAGCAAACAAACTGAATAAATTCTGTGTATGTCATTAGGTTGAGAAGCCAGCCCTTTGAGCTTTCACTTGAGCTAGGAATCATGCCAAAGTCAATCACATGTTTGCAGGTCACAGACGTTCACCACACAGAATCCTATAAATAACTCTTAACCCAAGATGAGTTGTTGAATAAATGACATAATAGAGCAAGTTGAATAAAACTATGTGATAAGAAACCTGAAGAATACCCGTGAACTGATACAAGGCTAGCTTTTTCATATTTGCTCTAGCTGGATTGTCTTGTAAGCTAATGATTACTGAGAATGTAGCCTGCCAGGTTCTAGGCACCTTAAAAACTCTATTTAACTCTGAAAACAGGCTAGTAAAGCAGGTATTATCATTATTACCTTTTTATAGTTTAGAAAACTGAAAGTCCGAGATGGTCAGTAACCTGCTGAAGGTCACACAGATATTTTGTCAGACCCTCAAATCCAAACTTTCCCTAAAATACCATGCTGTCTTACTCCAGAGCTGAAAATAAAGCATACTATATTTTAGCTTCAAAGTGTTTCATCTTAGGAGATGCCAAAGAAGAGTCTGAGGAAATATCAGCTAAGAGGAACTTATATTTTAACAGTACAGAGTTGCAATTATTAGGTGCTAATGGTTTCAATATGTCTCCTCCAAAGTTCAGGTGTTGAAACTTAATGGCCAAAGTGGTAGTATTGAGAGATGGGATCTTTAAAAGGTGATTAGACTATGAGGGCTCCTCTCTCATAAATAGAATTTAGGTCCTTATGAAAGAGGCTTCATACAGCATTCAGCTGTCTTGGCCTTTTGTCCTGTCATGTGAGGACATGGTGTTTGTCCCCTCCAGAGGATGCAGCCCTTACCAGACAAGCTTGACCGTGGAATTCCCAGTCCCCAGAACCGTGAAAAATACTTTGCTGGCACCTTGTTCTTGGACTTTCCAGCCTCCAGAACCATGAAAAATACTTTTCTGTTTTTTATGATTTACTCAGGCTCATATATTTTCTTATAGCAGCACAAACAGATTGGGAAATTGGGTCTAATAACATGTAGTTCCAGGGAAAATGAGTCTTTACTTTTTTTCTGTGATTATTTTATCTACTATCAAAAGAAAATTAATGAATTTTTAAGTTATCTACATTCTATGCAATGTATACCAAACATTTATCCCCAGAAAATCTGAAGATGTTCTCAAGGAAAAGTTGCAGGGTTTAATATCAAATGATTAAAATGCGTTGGTTGGGTAGGATGTGGAACCCATTAAATTTCACAGAAGGATGGGGACCTACACAGAAATAATGGCATACAACATGAAAAATAAACAAAATGAAATTGTCTACACTGACTTAGTTTTAATTAGGTAATAAGTACCCTGGATCACATAGCTCTCAGATTTAATTCAAATCTCTTTAAAAATTGTTTTAGCCCTCTATCCTTCAAATCGTATCACCTAGTTTTGTTAGAATAAAGTTTTTCCACTCTGTATGTATTCTCTGCCTTACTGGGTTTCCCATAAAGTGAACTTTGAAACAATGATGTGGGTGTAAGCACTTTATTTGTGAAGTGATCCCAGGAAACATGTTGGATGGGATCACTTCCCAAAGGGATGGGATAGGATGGGAAAGGGAGGGAAGCCAATGAGGTCCATTAATGAGTGTGTTATCACTATGGGCAACTGGCATTCTATTTTGCTGGTACCCTCTCAGAGACTATATCAAACTCCTGTGAATTGTCCCACTGAGGAATGAGGAAGCTGGATTATTTATCTACCATCACCCCTCCTTCTTTAGTTGAGGACTGCTCCTGAGCCTGCCAATGCCCCGTCAATTATAGTCTATTTGTTGCCCTAGCATGTTCCTACAGCTGGAGAACAGCCTCAGGCAGAGGACAGAGAATCCTATCTGTTCCAGAACTGTTTGCAAGGCCCCTGGGGATAGATCATGAGAAAATGAGCATCTCCCACACTCTACTGGTGTACCTTCCCACAGTGAGGTTCTTTATTCATTTAGTTCTCAAGCTTTACTGGAATGACCTGAAAACTTATAAAATGCAAATCTCTAGTTTCGTCCCATTCTGATTAAAATCAGTGGTTGGGTTCAGAATTTTAACAAGAACTCCAATCACTCCAAAGCAGGTGGTCTGTGTGCTGCAGTATGAAAAAAGTGTGCTAGTGAAACCAAAGGCTATTAATGAATCTCCATACAGGCTAACTAGTACCTCAGAGATAAAGATCTCTATCTCAGGCATAGATGTACCTTATTTTTCTGTGTCTCAGTCCTCAAATATAAGCTGTTGCTCCTAAAGAAAATATAATGAGTATATGGATGAGTTAACACTTTGCCAGTCCAATTCTGAAAAATCATTTATATGGGGAAACAAATCACTTTTATATCCAACAGATCATGCATCAGGAGAAAAAGTATCAGATACCCTTATGCTAGAGTGACCGCATTTTTCTAACACATGGTCTGCTGAAGGAGTAAATTTATGGGGAAAATAGGACAGAAGAGTTGACATTAGGACAGAGAATAAAGTTATTGTACTTACATATGCTGGTTAGAAATCTTGGGAAAATATTTTCAAGCCCCTGCCACAGGGACTAGCAGATAAACTAAAGCAGCTTTGCAAAGTATCAAAGTTAGGCCAACCATTGAGATTGTGTTTTTAAGTTTCCTGAGTTATAAGAAAGGGTGACATAGTCGTTCAGAATGCAGTCCCTTATATTCAGAAGTTTTTCAATAACTGAGTTCCTTTCACATTTTTATCTGTCTACTATGTATTACGGAAAGTGGGCAGTGAGAGCACTGGGGCCATGACACTTGTTCCCCTGTGAGAAAGATATTCTGCAGTCTGAAGGAATATGGTATCTATTGTATATAGTGAAAATCTCAGCTCATGTCTCCTTTCCATGGCTCCAGGTTCTCAGCACCACTTCTGTGATCTCATATCACCAGGTAAGGTCTAAACTCAAAATATTCAAGAATGCTCTTGTTTCCCAAAGCCCTTACGATAAATACACTGCATAATCTGGCCTGCAAGTTACTGCATGATTTGGCCTCTGCCTACCTTGCCAGTCTCCTCTGTCACTACTCCCTGTCTCATCCTCTAAGCTCCAGCCTTGAAACTCTTTTAGCTCTTCAAATTCTCAGTACCTTTATAGGTCTTGGTCCATGCCACACTATCCTTTCCTTCTGAAGCCCTTCTCCCATGAGCCTATGCCTTCACTTGAATACCACCTCACCGTCTTCAGGTATTGGTCTACATGTAAATTCCTCTGGTTGGCTTTCCTGACCCCTTCAGACAGGTGACTGGAAGCTCCTGTAGGATCTTTGCAGACCCTAGGCTCTCCTAATCTTGAAGGCTCCACCTCTCATCATGTTATGTATGTGAAGATACACCACACTGCCCATTATGAAATCATTCTTGCTATAAACATTCTGAAATAAGTTTTATAGTTATGTTTTTGAAATTTTTGAGTATGAAATTTGTCATTGATTAGGACAGAATCAAGACCTGCAGGTTTGGTTGTGACTCCGTTAATAATCAGTTGTATGATCTTAGACAAGTTACTTAACCTCTATGAACCTGTTACGTTATCTGAAACGAGGGATTTGCATAAGTGATCTAAGGCCCCATGTAGCTCTAAGAGTCTATGCTTTTATCATTAACTGTGGGGAGGGATGTTTTTAGTGGTGGTAGGTTCATGGGGATGGGAGTAGGGCACAGATTGTTTACTGATGTACATGCACCACAAAGACTGAGTATCAGTGGGTATGCTGGCCAGAGCTACATACACAAGTATATGTAGAAAATATAGTACTAAGACTGAAGATAAGGAAAACTATTTTACATAATGAACAATTTATTAATCTAAAATAAAAGAAATTCAGAGTACTCAAGTATTATTTATTTTCCTAAACAAGACTGACAAGTGAAATGTGAGTATAATTATTTATAGTCATACTCCCTAAGGCTTGGCACTGGTGAAAACCACATAGAATGTCTTGTAAAAACAATTGGGTATTAGAAAGAGCAACTCTCATTATTTCTATTGTGCTTTGAGAAATGATATGTCTTTGGATCTTTTGTGAATATAAATAGTTTTCAAATTGCAGAAGACATAACCAGTCTGTAACTTTGTATAAAGAATTCTGTATTTCATACTACACACATCAATAATTTAATGCAGTCTTTAAACATAGTTATTTTATTTCTTCTGATAAAAAGTAATACAAGTTCAACGCAGAAAATGTGTTTTTAATCCCAACACCCAGAAACAGACACTGATTTTGGTGCATACCTTTTCTTTATAGGCATACACTTGATAGGCACATAGTTCCAAAAAGGCATCACATTTTACATCTGTCTTGCCCGGTTGGACTGGAGAGGTTATCTGGCTTGGAGCCTGCAATATCTATTGCCATGACCAACACACCTGGCATATCTGAGAAGTTAGTGAGTCTGATGGTTCACAAAAGCCATTTTTATGAATTAATCTGCATAGAGAAAGTAGAAGAAAAAATGATAGTAGGAAAGACATGGAAGTCTGCCTTAAATATTTGCCCTTAAGACACAGCACCCCACTGATGTTCAGGTGACAGTGAGACATCAAGTTTGGGAGCAGGGCTTCTTCCCGGCTCTGTGTGGAGAAAGTATAATACTAGTGGGTCAATATTAGCATACTTCCTGTGAGTAACGCTAGCAATGGCAGGGTGAGGCAACTTTACATGGTTTCTTTGCTTGAGGAAACAGATACGCGTGACCAAAATTGACAAAGAAAAAGGTGGCTAGTTCTCTGGGTAACAAGGCAAGAGACTGCTTCATGAACACAGATGAAAATCTCAGGCTCAACCTGGCAATTGTGTAGAGCTGTTGGAATCCTCTGTGAACAGGTCTGAGCAATAGATGCTGGTGTTTTAATTCTTACTGATACCATGACTGTCATCTAGATTCATGTACTGGCGAAGCCTGGGGAAACTCAGATTACATACTGCTTTGAAGCCATTCCCTCCCGCATTCACATAACTATCTAATTTGAATATTTCCTCACGAGGCTAAATCTTTAACAATTTTTTTTTTTTTTTGAGACAGAGTCTTGCTCTGTCGCCCAGGCTGGAGTGCAGTGGCCCGATCTCGGCTCACTGCAAGCTCTGCCTCCCGGGTTCACGCCATTCTCCCGCCTCAGCCTCCCAAGTAGCTGGGACTACAGGCACCCGCCACCACGCCCAGCTAATTTTGTTTTTATATTTTTAGTAGAGACGTGGTTTCACCGTGTTAGCCAGGATGGTCTCAATCTCCTGACCTCGTGATCCGCCCGCCTCGGCCTCCCAAAGTGCTGGGATTACAGGCGTGAGCCGCCGCGTCCGGCCAACAATATAATTCTTTAATCAATGCATAGTGGTCCACTATATAAAGGGACAAGAATTTTAAAACCAATACTCTGTAGTTTAGTATCAGGAATTTTATTTTTCATAATTATTAACAATTTTGTGATAAATTATCTTGCAGTAAAATCTGTCATATTCATGATTATTTCTGTAAGATAGATTATTAGGAGTGTTCTTTTGGGGTCTAAAAAGAATACAAAGTCTTGAAAATTTTGCTAAACATTGCCAAGCTACTCTCTCAACAGACTGCCATTTTATATTTCATCCTCTTAAAAGCAGACTTCCTATAAAGTCTGTTTTTATAGGCTCCAAGATAGATTGGAATGGCAGTTGTCTTAAATTATTATAGCACTGCATTAGCTTAGAAATTATGCTTCATGTAATTTTGGAATTAAGATTCAAGAGAAATTCTAATACCTTGGCCAGCCACACATATCAATGATGGTCTAGACTGGTTGATATTATATTCAAAGAGGGATTAATTCAGTGACAGAAAAATGCATCACAAAGCAAAGAATGAATTTACCAGCTACCTGTGCAAAATAATACACTGCATTAGACAAGATGCTATCTTTTATAGTTCTTACAAATATAGTATGTTCACTTCAGAGTCTGCCATTATCTTGGAATGGTTGCCTGGGCTTATGCTCCATGAGGGAAGGCAAGAATGTAAAATTCTATGAAGATTAAAGTATTGGTATATTCATTCAACGTTATGAAGAATGCTTGGTTTAAAGTACTGTAATGCTAATTCTCAGGGAAATTCACAGGGAACACGTGATGTTACCACATGGTATACAGCATAGGAACAAGGTGGTCTGGAAAACAACACAAAGCAGGTGGCAGATTGAGGAAAGCTGGGGTAGAAGCTGGGAGATGCCAGATACTTCAGTATATATGGTTGTCACTAGGACTGTCATCTTTGGAATGACAGGTATTCAGAGTCATAAGGAAATGTTAATGGTCTCCTAGTCCAGTCACTCACGTAGTACTAGAATCTTCTCTTCAGCCTCCTACCACTTGGCAAACTGGTCTCTGCTTGAACTCTTTAGTGACAGGGAATGCTATCAGCACCACTTACTATATAAATTATTTAATGAATAAAAAACCCAGCAAGCACATGCAAATGCCTTTATGAAATAGAATATGTCTAAGTAAAACCTTTTATTATCTGGATGATTTGGGACTTACTTTTCAGTAGGAAGACATTAAACCATGAGGGAACTGTGGTAATCATTTAGGCTATAAAGAATCTCGTTCCCTTCAATATATTTGTGGAATGCAATTCCCTACTCTCTTTGAAGTGGGGCATGGCCACATTTCCATTGCTTTGGCTAACGAAATGTGAGTGGAACTGACCTATATCAATTAAATATGAAGCTATAAAAGCCTGTGTTGTGAATCACCATGTTTGTTTGTTTCCCTTTACCAGAGTGACCGTAAAAGCTTGTTGAGATGCAGATACCAACAGGATGGGTCCCTGAGTGATTGTGATGAGCAAGCTCTCAAACCAACACACATGGGACTGGCAGTGTCAGAAATCAGCCTGTGATATGTTAAGCCACTGAGATTTAGGCATAGTCTGTTATTATGGCAAAACTATCGCATACTAATTATTAAGGTCAGTTTTAGCAGAGACTATTTTAAAATGCCAATTTAGAATATTTAGCCTGGGTCAATATATGTATTTGGTCCAATTTCCTAACATCTGCAACTATGATAGCCTACAATCACAACCTGTGGTCAATACCTTATTTAAAAAACTACATGTAATTGCACTCAGCGTTTTAACTTTTTTTTTTTTTTTTGAGATGGAGTTTCACTCTTGTTGCCCAGGCTGGAGTGCAACGGCGCTCTATCTCGGCTCACCGCAACCTCCGCCTCCCGGGTTCAAGCGATTCTACTGCCTCAGCCTCCCAAGTAGCTGAGATTACAGGCGTGCACCACCATGCCTGGCTAATTTTTTGTATTTTTAGTAGAAACGGGGTTTCTCCATGTTGGTCAGGCTGATCTCAAACTCTTGACCTCAGGTGATCTGCCCACCTCGGCCTCCCAAAGTGCGAGGATTACAGGTGTGAGCCACCACGCCCGGTCAGCATTTTGAACTTTTTAAGGCACAAAGTAAACACATTTTAGAAAATTGTTCAAATCTTAGAAAACTACATGCATCAAATTCAGTTTGGTGATGATCACTGGAGAGGCAAAGAGGAAGACAAGACCCTGTATGGAAGGGTTCATGGGAGCTTCAACTATATCAGTTATGCTTTTATTATTTTATTTTAAATCTGAACTAAATAATGTCAAAATGTTAAGATTTTATATAGCTGGGTTGTAAGTACTTGAGCAATTATTAAATTATGTTTTATTATATAGAATATGCTTGAAATCACTCAAAATACGTTTTTAAAAGAATGTTACTTAACAGTTATAGACGTCAAAGGAGTTTTCTGATTATCAGCTAAACCTCCATCAAACAAAATGAGCCTGTATCCAGAGTTCCAGATAGTTGAGATTTACCTGGATTAAAATGTAAAAATATTCTTTAAGCTCTTAAAGGAGGGCAGATTGTAGAAGTCTCATATTTCAACATTTCTGTATGTCTGAACATATCAGAAAGGACTTCCTTACTCTATCTTTGTTATCCAGTGGAGAAAGTTGACTTCCTGAATGTGACTCTGAGACCAATAATTATGCCTACATATTTGTAGTGGAAGGAATATAAGAGTTGCATTTATGTTACATTTAAATCTCAAGTGTAACATCTATTGGCAATGTAGCCTTAAGTAAATCAATTAGCTCCTCTATACCTTTTCATTTGAAATTTAAAAAGTGAAGATGAATTTCTATTGCATAGGGTCAATATTATCCTATTGATTTTTTCAGTACTCCAGTTTTATACTAAAATACCATACAAATGTCAAATATGGTGTATTTAATGATATAACACCAATTTTGGGGACATAAAAAATCTGAAACCTGAATAATATATCTTAAGATATGTGCAGATTTATCTAGTTCATCAAAATGTTGACAAGAGCAAAGGCACTTTCATTCTGACCTTATCCCTTCTCATTCAAAATGTTTCCATGGTATGTTACAGTTATCATTACCATTTTATAGATTACTAGTGAGGCTGTATATCTTATACTTATGAGATTTGTATTTCCCGCCCCACTCCCAGAGTCAGATTGGGTCTTTATTATCTCTGAAAGGGCAGGATGGGGAGAGAAGGATGAACCATTAAGGAATATAGGAAAAGGGGATAGTAGGGGAATTACAGAAAGACAGGGGGTGGGATATTTCCATGCTCAACTCCCAGTCCTTCCCTTGGAGTCTAACCCCCTGATTTCTGTGAGAGCAGTATTTCCTTCTCTCCTGATTCCTTGTCCTCCAGTGCCAGACCCATTTTCTTAGTCCTACATTCTCTTCTCTTCTTTGTGACAATTTAAGAGTGGACTATATCTCAAAATACTCTACTTGTAGAGCCTCAATTCTGAAGAACAGAGGAACCCTCACTCAATTGGAAGAGCATCTAAAGACAAGGATAAAGGGTGCTGGAAACCATAGCTCATTTTAGAACTTAGCACTGATATTTCAATACCATGAAAAATAGATACTTGAATATTGGTATTGTCCTCATTCTGATATTGCAAACACTAGTCAAATGATGTTTAAGTAAGAAAATGCATGCAGAAGTACTTTATATTTGTCATTGCAATTTAAAATACTCTCAAAAATTTTTATTACTTTGTTTGAAGCCTTATTCAGTAACCACCTTAATATATATTATAAAAATATTCAAGCCCAGCAATGTCACATTTCTAGGGATTAAACTATGCAGAGTCCCTCTCTTACTATCAAGGTTGTATGTGTATGTGTGTATGTGTGTGTGTGTTTCATTGGTTTTCTTTTCAAATTTGTTGTTTTATATTGGGTAGAAGCTGTTGTTTTTCATTATTTTCATGTTAACATTTATAACCACCTACCTCTTGGCAAGCACATTCAGGTACAGCCACGTTTTTTTTCCCCCCTTGAAGTTCCCATAAGGAAGTCATTTTTATTTCCATTTCACAGATGAAGCAATTGGGGTCCAAAGAAATTCCCCAAGTTTATACTAGCAATAAATGGCAGAGCCAGGACTCAAACTCTGTGCTTTTGACATCAAATTGTTTTCTCTTCTCACTCATTCTATATAAGGATAAAATTATGATACTTTAATAAGATCTAGCAGAGTTTTTAAAAAGCCTCTTTTGCTTCTTTAGAGAAAAAGCTTTCAATGTTACTTAAATGTAAAAATGTAAGAGTTGCAATCTAAGTCTCAGGAACAGGGCAGTCAGCACTGCTGAATTTGGGCACCTGCAAGTAAAGGGCCAAAAGCAAGGCCAAGAGAAATTCGTTTTTCAAAACCTGAGACACACAAAATAAGGGAAACATTGAAATGGTATTCAATGTCCAAAAGTGATGATATGGAATTCTTTAAGTTCTGGCCCCAGAGAAAGACACTCGAAATCATCAAGTTCTTGCTGAACTTCATATTATTTATCTGCAGTCTGCAATTTATAACAATCACCTGCTAGGTTCAAGCTGAGAAAATTGAGTTGTCAAAAATAGGCAATAAAAATTGCAAGTATGAGCAACCATCAAAATGATAAAACTGTCAGACCTGTACACATCAAACAACAACTTCATTCATTCTGTCCAATTCCTGGTACTTAATATTGTCTGCTATGGTAACTAAGCTCCACTTAGAGTTGCTATTAGCACAAATATATATAAAAGAGACTTGGCTGAGTTATTAATGGTTTCATAGAGAACACGGTAAAATTTTCTTGAGAGGAATCCACTGATGTCTGGGAATATCTGTCAAACAGGGCATCTCAGTCTTAAGCATTTTGGAAAATATGCCTGGTATTAGCTGTGAGAAGGCATGAGAGACCTCAGGAAGTTTACATTCCTGTTTTTCAGATGTTTCACTCACCAATTAGAATGTGTTTTTCCTCAGAGAAGTCCTTTTTACAAAAAAAGTCTCAAGCATGAGAAGTTTTGCTGAAATGACAGTGAAAAAAAGGAAGGAGGAAGAAAACAGGAAGAGAGAAAGAGTAACAGAAGTGGAACGGGAGAGAAGGAAGAAGGGAAGGCAGAAGGAAGGGAAAAAGGACTAAGAATGAAAATCACAGACTATTTGAATTTTATCTCTTTTTAATTTTTGAGGTATGTTTAAGTACCTTTATTCTAACAAAAAGTAATGTTATGAGTTTAAGGAGAAAAAATGATGAGAAAATAGATGTCCTCATGTTCATTAAAGATTGTCAATTTTCTCCTTTTCCTGCACCATCTGACTTCTCTAGCTTTTGTCTGGCTCAGCATTGTTTCAGCTTGCTCTGGTAGAACCAGAGCAGTAAAGAGCTATGACCTGTCAGCCAGAAATATCATTGTGGACTACCTTGAAATTTTAGCGATTCTGTCTGAAAAGTGATAGAAAAGTTTATATCCTGGCTTTTAAAATCACTATCCTATTTTTAAGGGATCTGGCCAGGACTACAAGCTACAATTCAAGATCAGCTGAGACTGGGAGATGTACAAAAGAGAAATTTTTCTGAATGTCTGTCATTCAAGGATTTGGTTTTCAGAACTGCCTGCCATGTCCATTACATATACTTCTTGATCCATTCTGCTTTCCTCCCACTGTTAATCCTCTCCCTTTCAGCTTTTCCCTGTAGGTGCTCTTGTAATCTACAAACTTTGTTCTCTCTCCAGTGGCATCTTAACTTTTCCTTTTGGTCTATAAGAAATTCAAGGATTACCAGGGGCAATGCTGCTCCTGACTTGTGGTCCCCATAAGACCTTTTATGTTGCCTGCTGTATTGTCAGGCAGCTTCTCTACCACTATTTCAGCCTTCTGGGTGAGTCCCAGGCAGGCTCCTCAGTCATCAGCAACTTTGAATTGTAGAGGCTGGTTGGCATCTGTTCTCCCCACCAACTGCCACAAATAAACAAAACATCCCCAAGTCAAAACTCTGCTCATACAATTAAAATCACCAAGAAAATGCACATCAGCATTCCACTATGAGCAGCTTATATGTCTCATTACCACCCTGGATCTGTCACACACATTTCAAGCATGGCCCAACAGTCCCGGCTCTATGAAGAACTTAGTGAGATCCAAGTTACAGAAGGATAGTTACTATGTAAAGTATCCAAAATGGCAAAAGACATAATGCCTTGGGGAAAAATGTAGTTACTGAATAAGTGTTTGTGGAATGAATGAATGAATGTATTCATGAAACAAAAATGGCATGAAAACATTCCACTGCAAATACCTACAAACAATGGTTATCCCTCTCACCTTCCCTTTCAATTCACAGGTAAACTGAAAGTGTTCTATATAATCCACCTGTTGGTATAGGAAGACTACAAGGAAAGATCAACTTTGACGATACGTTTGAGACTTTACAAGTTTGGTTGCTGAATATAGAAATTAAACCCAAGGGCAACAAACATTTATGCAAAATTCCTCCAAAGTGATACTCTCAACACCTAAGGTCTACATGAACCTTACAGAAGAAGTAAGCTCGGCTAAACTGGAGCTAAACAAAAACCACAAATATAAGGAAACAGTCCACCATGAGCTAAAGAAAGCAGACACAACCAACAGGAGGATCAGAGTGCCAATATTTTCAGATAATAGGACAATCTGAAAATACATAATTGCATTTGATATAATTAAAGACAAACTAAAACCATAAGCACAGAAAATGACACTATAAAAATAATTTTAAAAACACACAGAATTTCTGGAAATTAAAAAGCAGCAACGAGATGGGCTAAGAGATGGAGTGAAAGAATGAGAAGATACACATAGATGTTGCAGAAAAGATATTTGAAGCAGCAATGGTTGAGAGTTTTACAGAATTAGTGACAAACATGACTTAATATTCAGGATACACAATAAGTCCTAGCTAGTATAAATTCACACTTAGACATATTATATTGAAATTTCAGAGCACCAAAAGAGGTGGAGGATTTAACCCCCCAACTCATGACAAAGTTGGAGGGTCAGACATGCCTCATTATACCCTCCTCCCTTTTGGAATTCAGGAAAAGTTGACCAGCGTTTACCATCTACACAGACTTTAAGTGTGATAAGAAACATTTACAGTCTATTCTCTCTGGAGCCTGCTACCTGGAGGCTTCATCTGTATGATAAAATTTTGGTCTCCATAACCTCTTATCAAACCGGACATTCCTTTCTATTGATAATGACTCTTTCAACAAATTGCCAATCAGAAAATTTTTAAATCTACCTATAACCTGAAAGCTCTCCCCTTCAGATTGTTCCACTTTCTGGATCAAACCAATGTATATCTTAAATGTATTTGATTGATGTCTCATATTTCCCTAAAATGTATGAAACCAAGCTTCACCCTGACCACTTTGAGCACATGTTCTGAGGGTCTCCTGCAGGCTGTGTCACAGGGCGTGGTCACTCATATTTAGCTCACAATAAATCTCTTCAGAATTGGAATCTCTTCATCAACAGTACTAGACTCTTGCTGAAAGGATTGCTAAAGGATAAACTTCATGAGCAAATTACAGTAGGAGAGGAATAGTAAGCAAAGAAACTGATGAATACAGGTAAATTCAAAGAAGCCCAACTGAAAAAAAGGTGAAAATTTTAAGGAAAATATAAAAATGAAGGATGACATATAAGAGCTCGAAGTAGCCAAAGAATGGTCATTGATTGTTTAAGAGAATCATGGAGCTATTGATGAACTTCAGTTTGTGTTGTCAAATATGTATATTTAAAATTTTAAAGTAATTTAAAAAAAGAAATATAATTTTTAACCAATAAAGGAAGGAAATAGGGGATTAAACCAAATTAAGTAATCCAAAGTAGATGATGGTAGGGAGCAAGAAAAAAGTAAAAATCCACGTTTATTCATAATTCAATAGTAAAACACTTGAAATATTTTCTTTAAAGTCGGCAACAAGGCAAAGATGTTTTCTACCACTGCCTCTATCCAACGTTACAGGGGAGTTCTTAACCAAAGCAATAAGACAAGGCAAAAAAGTAAAAAACATGACAATTGGAAAAGAAGAAATAAATCTGCTGCCACTTATAGATGATGTAATTGTCTGAAAAAAAACTACAGAATATATGACATACTCATAAAATTAATAATAGAGGTTTTTAAAATTTCTTCAAAGAAATTGATATACAAATATCAAGGTTGCTTCTATAATGCAGCAGAAAACAACTGGCAAATGTAATTATCCCCTAGCAATTCTGCTATGTGTCAAACTAAGAGAGCTCTTGCATATATGCACAAAGAGACAAAAATAAGAATATTTTCTGCAAAAACATTTATGACAGTGAAAAAGCATATTAAGCAAACAAACGCATAAACAAACTGTCCCTCAGTAGGTATATTTGCACAATAGGATAAATTGCAACAATTAAAACGAATGGACTGCCCATCTGGATAAATCTCAGAAACATAATGTTGAATGAAAAGGCAAGTTGCAAAAGAAAGGTTCAGCATAGTGTCATTTATGTAAAATTTTCCTAAAATATTTATGAATATATACATATGTAGGAAAATATAAACCATGCATGGGAAACATGTAGGGAAAAGAAGCCCCAAACTTCATACATATAATGACTTCTGGCTTCAGGACAATAGGATTTTGGCCATATCTGTAACATTTTATTTTCCTTGACAAAAATATTTGAAGCAAATATGACAAAACTTTAAGATTTTGTCTTGATGGTAGGTGCAGGGATGTCAGTTATTTTCTGTGATTAAATTCTTTCATAATTAAAAAAACAGTGAAAAGATATTCATTGGTCAAGTTGACATTTTTTACCAAGTTTTGTGATATCCTTGTTATAGTACCTGGAATAATATAGGTAAACAATAAGTGTTTGGTGAATGAAATACATGAGAATCATGAGAGCCACTTTGAGATTCACCTCCTTCCCACTCAATGTCTTCTGTGTCCTACTTCCCTTCCCTTTTGCCTGCCTATTTCTAAGACAGTTCTAAGAGAATTTCCATGCAAAATAAGAACAACAATACAACAAGAAAAAGAATAAACCATCTTTCCTCTCCCAGATTTTTAGACTTCTATTTATGTTTGTGTCAGGGTAAGCTACAGAAGAACTAATTTATCTCCTTTGTTGCTGCTCCACCGGCCAAGCTCTTCATTCACACATTAGAGAGCTGAAAATCTTCGGAGACTACAGCTTCCAGCAATAAATTAAACATCTCACTTTGAGGGTTGCTTCCTCCTTGATTTTTAAGAAAATATAAAATAAAATTGCTGCAGGGAGGATAAAGATGATGATGGATGACTTATTCCCTAACTTCCCGCAGCCTACTTAAAAAATTATTTTTCATATAACAAAAGAGAAAGCAAACACTGAAAAAGGTACTGTTATTTTACCTTCTAACTTTTTCGCATAAGCAGCAGGAAAAATGATTTTTTCCCTTCACCACAATATTAATAAGAAGAATCGTAACCAGAACCCACAATATGTATAATTATCACTATTGTCTGAATGGAGTTATTTTGGCATCGTATAGCAAGTTAAATGCAAAATATTAAGAATATGTGTTTCTTGTTGAATGATGAGTTCTTTGTTTACCCATTCAGATATTTAGCTTAAATTGAGTCTATATGTAACTTCGCTTATATTAACATCTCTGTTCCAACCTTCTCTCCTATCTTTACCTGGTTCTGCAATATGAACAGATTATCAAATATCACCAGAAAATAAGTTATGAAATATTTGTTCATCTAAAAGTACCAAGCAATGTCTATAAGGTGAAACTCAATGATCAGCCAAACACCCATATATCTGATCAAAAATCAGAATGCTCAAAATTATCTGACTATATAGGCAGGTAAAGTTATTTCAAGTTGGAGAACATAAAAGTTCTTGTCTAAGTGTTTCACAGGATTTGTATAAACAACAGATGTACTGAAAGTACATTTTTGCTAATATGAGTAGTAGTTTAACCCAACTTTGTTTTTATATGGATAATAAAGTAGATCAACACACATTTCTCCCACAGTCAGCCTAAAAGATGCCGTAAGAAAGAATATGCTACAGCTCACCCCTGGGATGTGGAGACTATCCTTCAGTTACCCAGACAGAAGTTCAGGATACTTACTTTTCAGCTCTTTACACTGTCATATTTTAGGTCTGATCTTTAGGCTAAAAAAAAACCGATCCACTAGACGCCCTATTTTCTTGATAAGGCAGATACAATAACATCTCTGGCAAATCAACATCTTATTTTGAGATAACCTAGAAAGCAGTTTTTTTCCGAATTTCCTAAAAAATTCATGTCTTTGTCTCCTCTATAGCAAACATAGAAACAGAGGTAGAGTACAAAAGGAGTTCAGGAAATTTAACCAAAAAGGTGCTGGAAAAACTGCTAGTACAAAGTTGGAGCAACTGAACAAAGTAATTCAGGACAAAAGAAATCATACATTGCACAAGCTCCCAATACTCTACTAAAATGTCCAGAGGAGATAGTAAACTCTAAGATTATTTTTCTTTATTTGGGTTCCAAGGCAAAAGACCATGAACTAATATCATCTGTAAAATGCATGGATTATTGACTTCCTGAAACAGGATATTGATTTTTTAATAAAAAAATTAATTAAAATGCTTCATTCTCTTTCATAGTTAACATTCACATCATTGTCGAAAATAGAAGAAATATAATAAAACACAATATTCATTTTATTATATTTCTTGGATATATTAATTTGGATATATTATATATCCAAAGGTGAAGTTTAAAAAATTCTTACTCTATGACTTCCTATTTAAGAAACACTTTGCATAGTTTATTAATCTTTACCAATATTTGTGCTATCAAAATTGACTTACCAATCATAAAATTAATTTTATAAAATAATCTAAGTTATCAGAATAAAAACTGTTACTTTTATTTCAATTTGTCCATAAAGGTTAAAAAATACACATACCTCAACAAATATAAAACACGGGATGATGGAATAACTTCGTTGAGTGTTGTTTCCTACAGCCATTTCTCACACCATATAGCAAGACTGCACCGTCAAAAACTGTCCAGGCTGAAATAGAAATAGGTTGCATAGTATAAGAACCATATATTGAGAAGTCCCTTAGGTACTTACATAAAAATATCAGCTACTAGATATCAGCTTTCTAGATAAGCAGGCTGTGTGCAAAAGCAATACAGTGATCTACAACACAGTCAAGTCAGACTAATAATCATTCCAATAAAAAGCAAATAATATATACTTGCCATGAATAGTTTTACAGCCAAAATGACCAGGTCAGGAGCCGCTTGTGCACATAGCTAGTGAATAGAATTCTAATTGCCTAGTACTGCATAGTGCCTTACCCCAGTAGACTGCCCTAATGCCATGAAATACAATTTTTGGTATAAAACTTTTTTTTCTTGTCCATCCTGCATGGATCTCTCTTACTTGTTCCTAATCCTCCCAATTTGCAACCTAGAGAATTGTCTGTTTATGCTCTGGTCTCTCCCTTTGAAGCTGACACTTAGTACAGAGCCACCAATCCCTGACTTCCTTCCTTGACCATTATTTGTCCTTGCTCTCTTGAATACACAGCCATGAACAACTTCAGGTTAATATGTCACCGATCTGTTTCACTGGTTCCCCTCAGCCCTGTGTGTGACCCAAACATAAAACAGTAAAGGCATAACACATTTCATTTAACTTATAAGACATTCACTTAGCTTACAAGAATGGAGTAGCTGGGCAATAGCAGATTGTCATTAAATATTTTATTAGAACACATCTTCCCTGCCTTGAACTGAAAATATAATTGTATTAGGAGATTAGTTAGTTTTGATTCTTCTTAATACAATGAAGTAAAGATTTTAAGCTTTAATGAAATTTCCAGTCCAGAGTTTTAAAAATCCAGTACATTTTTTATTCTCTAGCCAAAGCAATACTACACATTTCAGATATCTGCTCTTAAAGTCATTATTTTTCATTTGTTCTGTTTCTCTGTCATCCCTACCAACAGTTCTTGTAGATTTTGATTACAGTATGAAAGGTAACATAGGAAGTACCAGTCTATTTGAATGGCCAGCTGTACTTTTTAAAAGGTCAGACATTAATTTTAATGTCTTCATTTCTATCCTTCCTAAGTTTCTTTCTGCCCTTTTCCAGAATGAAACTTTAAAATACATATCCTTCCCTTTTGAGATATCAACTCCTCACTTGTCAATTAAAAGTTTCTCTGATCAAATTTAATATTATGTGCTTTATAAATCCATACCAACCACAGTATTTAAGTTTTAGGCAACTTAATTTTTTTCAATTAAAATTGGATATTTTCTGTTATAAAATCATACCCATACTACATGTGTTATTTCACCATTATATTTTAGGATGTTATTTTCTACAATAAGAAAGGAATCTATATGTAGAAAACACATTGAATTGATTGGATAACCATCATTTTAAAATGGACAACCATTTTAATTTTGCCCTTACTTAACCCAAATATCTTAGAATTTACTTAGTATTTATGATATAAATGAACTTTCCTGTTAGCATCAGCCAAATACAGTGTTGTATATCTGAAAAGAAAATTAAATATTAATCATGTTCAAGAAGGCAGAGGCACGAGAAAAAGCAAAGGCATCAAACACCTAGTGTTTTAGATGGCTTCTCCATGTAATTAATAAAGAATAACAATAAAGTGGAGAATATAAGACAAGCTTTAGGATACAAAATTCCCCTCTATTTTCATTTTTCTGGTCCAAAATGCAACCAAGCTTTTTATATGTATATGGCTACACACACACACACACACACACACACACACACACAAAGAGACGGGAGTAACTACAGTGAGGTATATTTTATATATACCAATTCACTCATTTTAAGTGTACAATTCAATATTTTAAATAAATTTACCAAATTGTGCAACTTTCCCATAAGATAGTTTTAGAACTTTTTAATCACCCCTAAAAGAATTATCATGTCTATTTACTGTTAATTCCCACCATCAACTCCTTCACCATATCCCAAAGCCAGGTAATCTGCTTTCTGACTCTACAGATTTGCCTTTTCTGGATATTTTAAATGAATAGAATAATATAATACACGACCTCTTATTTCTGCATTTCTTCACGTAGCATATTTTTGAGATTCATTCATGTTGTTGCACATTCAGTAATTTTTTTCCTTTTAACTGCCGAATAATATTCCATTGTATGGCTATTGCACTTTTACCAGTTGGTAGACATTTAGATTGTTTTGAATTTTTGGCTATATCCAGTATTTGGTTGTATTCAATATTATGGAAAACCATGCTAATAACATCTGTGTGCAATTCTTTGTGTGGATTTATATTTTCATTTCTCATGGATATTAGACACCTAAGAGAGTTGCTGGGTCATACGTTAAATTATGTTTAATTTTTTAACAGCACTACTAAAACGTTTTCCAAAGTAGCTATATCATTTTACATTCCCACCAGCAATGTATGAGAGTTCCCATTTCTCCACACTGTCATTGACATTTTTATTGTTTATCTTTTTTATTATAGCTATTCTACTGGGCGTGAAATGATATCTCATTGTGGTTTTAATTTTCATTTTGCTAATAAAAAATTATGTTGAGCATCTTTCCATGTGCTTATTAGCCATTTTTATATATTCTTTTGTGAAGTGTCTATTCAAATACCTTTTGTGGTTGGGTTGTTCGTCTTATTATTTTCAAGGTGTAAAGGTTTTTTGTACAGTCTATATACAAATCTTTATCAGATACATATTTTCAATATTTTCTTCCAGTCTTTTGCTTACGTTTTAATTTTATTTTTTCCATCTTTTTCATTGATTGAGGTGAAATTCACACAATACAAAGTTAACCATCTTAAAGAATACAATTCAGTGACATTGAGTACCTTCACAGTATTATGCAACAACCACCAAGTTCCAAAATATTTTTTCACCCCAAAAGCAAGCCCTGTTCCCATTAGCTGTCTCCCACTTTTCTTTAATTGACAAATAATAGTTATATATATTTATGAGGTATAATGTGGTGCTTTGATTTTTATAATATGAAATGATTAAATCAGCATAATTAACAAATGTATCACCTCAGGTACTTATTTTTACTACCAAAACATTTAAAATCTAATTTTATAGGAATTTTGAAATATATATCATTATAATCACCATTCTGCACAACAGATCATTAAAGCTTATGCCTCCTGTCTATCTGAAACTTTACACCCTTTGATCAACATCTTCCCTTTCTCCATCCATCCCCCTCTTCCAGCCACTGGTAACCATCATTCTACTCACTATTTCTATGATTTCAACTTTTTTAGATTCCACATGTAAGTGAAATCATACGGTATTTGTCTTTCTGTTCCTAGCTTATTTTACTTAGCATGATGTGCTCCAGGTTCATCCATGTTATTTCCCCCTTTTTAAGGCTAAATAGTATTCCATTACAATACTACATATATATGTTCACCAAATAGTATAGTAACACTATACTATATATATACTACCTAGGTGTCAATTATCAATGAATGGATAAACAAAATTTGGTTTATGTATGTATGTGTGTGTATATATATATACACATACACACTATATATATGTGTATATAAGTATGTGTGTATATATATGTGTGTGTATATATATATATACACACATGCACACTATATATATACTACCTAGGTGTCAATTATTAATGAATGAAGAAAATCTGGTGTATTAGGTATGTGTGTGTATATATGTATGTGTGTTGTGTGTGTGTATATATACACACACACACCCCCAAATAGTAATTTGGTGTGTGTATATATGTATGTGTGTGTGTATATACATATATATACATATACATACATACATGTATATACATACACATACACACACACACACACACACACACATACATATACCCAATTTCTTTATCCATTCATTGATAATTGACACCTAGGTAGTTTTAATATCTTGGCTGTTGTGAATAATGCTGCAATGAACATGAGAACGCATAAATATTTTTGGCATACTGATTTCAATTCCTTTGGATACACACTCAGAAGTGGGATTACTGGATAATATGATAAATTATATACTTAGTTTTCTGAGGAGCCTCCATACTGTTTTCCAGAATGGATATATTAATTTACATTCCCATTCAACAGTGCACAAGCATTTTTTTTTCTCCACACCATCGTCAACACTTACTATCTTTCATCTTTTTTATAATAGCCATTCTAACAGGTATGAAGTAATACCTCATTGTGGTTTTAATTTGTATTTCCCTGATCATCAGTGATGAGAATATATATATACATATAATATATATAAATTTATAAATATATATATTAGATATATATTACATATCTAATATATATTAGATATATAATATATCTAATATATATCTGTTGGCCATTTGTATGTCCTCTTTTGAGAAGTGTCTACAAAGATTCTTTGACCATGTTTAGATTGGGTTGTTTTATTGCTATTGAGTTGTTTGAGTTCTTCATATATTTTAAATATTAGCCCCTCATCAGATGTATGTTTGAAAATATTTTCTCCTGATCTGTAGGTTGTCTCTTAACTCTACTGTTTCATTTGCTGTGCAGAGCTTTTTTGTTTGGTGTAATCCCGTTTGTTTATATTTTGCTTGTGCTTGTGCTTTTGGGGTCATATCTAAAATCGTCTTTGTCCAGTCCAATATTGTGAAGCATTTCTCTTGTTTTCTTCTTGTAGTTTTACAGTTTCGGGTCTCATGTTTAAGTACGTAATCCACTTTGAGTTAATTTTTGTTTATGGTGTGGAATAAGAGTCCAATTTTGTTCTTCTGCTTGTGTAGATCCAGTTTTCCCAACACCATTTATTGAAGAGACTATTCTTTCTCCACTAGTGCTTTCTTGGCACCTCTGTTGAAAATCAATTGACCACAAATATATGGGCTTATTTCTGGGCTGTCTATACTGTTCTATTGGTCAAAATGTCTGTTTTTAATGCCAGGACCATGTTGTTTTCGTTCATTATAGCTTATAGATTTTTAAGTTAGGTAGTGTAATGCATTCCGTTTTATTCTTTTTTTTCTCTATTCCTTTGACTGTTTGAGATCTTTTGTGGTTCCATACAAATTTTAGAATTGTTTTTATTTCTGTGAAAAATTACATTGGAATTTTGGTAGGGATTTCATTGAATCTATAGACCTCTTTGGGTAGTATGGACATTTCTTTTAATTTCTTAATTGTATTAATCAGGGTTTTCCAGAGGGACATAATCAATCAGAATTAATGGAATGTATGTGTGTGTGTATGTGTATATATATGTGTGTGTATGTGTATATATGTGTGTGTCTGTGTGTGTGTGTATGTGTGTGTGTGTGTGTGTATATATATATATATATATATATATATATATATATATATATATATATATAAAGGAGAGTTTATTAAGTATTAACTCACACAGTCACATGGTCCCACAATAGGCCATCTGCAGGCTGAGGAGCAACGAGAGCCAGTCTGAGTTCCAAAACTGAAGAACTTGGAGTCTGATGTTTGAAGGCAGGAAGCATCCAGCATGGGAGAAATATATAGGTTGGGAAGCTAGGCCAGTCTAACCTTTTCAAGTTTTTCTGCCTGCTTTATATTCTCTGGCAGCTGATTAGATGGTGCCCATCCAGATTAAGGTGGGTTTGCCTTCCCCAGCCCACTGACTCAAATGTTAATATCCTTTGGCAATGCCTTCACAGACACACTCAGGATTAATACTTTGCATCCTTCCATCCAATCAAGTTGACACTCAGTATTAACCATCACAAGTCTACCCCTTGTCAACTTGAACCCATGCACATCTTCTGAGATTATGCATAATCTTCAAATAAAGACAGTAATAAGGTCATAATTATGTCTAATGTAATACAACTACCCTTCATACAACTGGAAATGTACCAATCCCCAACCCAAATACATAAAGTTAACAATACTTAAATGCTGATATGAAGTCAATAAATCTTATGTCACATGATAAAGGAAATAAAATGAAGATATTTTCTTAGTACAAGTGTATACGTGCACAAACATGTTTTTAACAAAAGAAGGAGGAAATACTTAGGACAATTACAGTCCTCATTCCTGCAGCTGGTCAAGTGGTCATAGCTGGTATTGGTGATTAACTTCTTCTACTACCCATTCTATATTCCCTTTGCCTTCAGCAAGCAACTCAGCAGGTTGTGCTTTTTTTCCTGATGGTGTGACCCAAACCTTCATTCCTGAAGGGTCTGGGCCATTTGTAGTCCTGCCTGGATTAGGCTGTTGTAGTTTCCCATTGACCTTAATCACAAGGCATGGTAATACTAAGCAACGCCCTAATGGATCTCCTAATAGATTCCATGCATACTCTTCCTTACCTAAGTTGTAGAGTAGTAGACTGATTTCATCTTGACAGTCCAGGTCTATTATCCCAGCCAATACTGTCACTCCCTTCTTAGCCCATTGACTTAAAGGTAGGAGAAGCCCAAAGTTTCCAGGTGGCACTCTTAACTTTCAGTTTAATGGAATCATTGTTGTATCTCCTGGTGACAGTGTTCCTCCCTCTGGAACTAAGACCTCTAGGCCAGCAGAACATAATGTCGCAGGAACAGGAAGCAAAAATTTTGCTAGTGGATCACTAGGGGTGATGGTGAGTGGTGCCACTTCCACTTCCATTCCTTGATTCCTGGACTCATGAATCCTGGCTATGGGAGAAACAGTACTGTATATTGGACACTGATTCGGAGCATACATGGCCTTCTGGCGAACTCTGCCCCAGCCCTGCAAAGTATTGTCACCAAGTTGGCATTGTAATTGTGACTTCCAAAGGCCATTCCACCATTCTATCATTCTAGCTGCTTCAGGATGATAGGGTACATGGTAAGACCAGTGAATTCCATGAGCATGAGCCCACTGCTGCACTTCTTTAGCCACAAAATGAGTGCCTTGTTCAGAGGCAATGCTGTGTGGAATACCATGATGGTGGATAAGGCATTCCATACGTTCACAGATGATAGTCTTGCCAGAAGCATTGCGTGAAGGATAGGCAAACCCATATCTGGAGTAAGTGTCTACTCCAGTGAGGACAAACCTCTGCTCTTTCCATGATGGAAGAGGTCCAATATAATCAACCTGCCACCCCAAGGAATGATGCCATATCTAGGGCTCAGTGTTGGTCTCTGCTGCTGGCAAATTGGGCACTCAGCAGTGGCAGTAGCCAGGTCAGCCTTGGTGAGTGGAAGTCCATGATGCTGAGCCCACGTGTAACCTCTATCCTTGCCACCATGGCCACTTTGTCCATGGGCCCATTGGGCAATGACATGGGTGGCTGGGGAAAGAGGCTGAGTGGTATCCACAGGTCATAGGTCATTCTATCCACTTGATCATTAAAATCCTCCTCTGCTGAGGTGACCCATTGGTAAGCACTCATATGGGATACAAATAACTTCACAGTGTTTGGCCACTCAGGTCCCTCCACATTAGTGATGTCTTTTATATTTACATTTTACTAGTTAGCCATTTTTACTCAGAGACTTTCCTTGTTAAACTTTAATTTCAAAGATCATTTAATTCAGATACTGATTACCTTACTATTATTATACCAATCCAGATTTTTGAAAGCAATTTATGATGTAAAAAATACAAATCAATGTCAAAATAAAATTAATATTGGGAATTATCAGAAAAGACTAACAACTTAATAGAAATTATATAAATTATACAACCTAATAGAAAAAATGGGTATAGTCAATTTAAAGAAGAAATATGGATGACTAACATGAAAATATTTACAACCTCATTAATAGGTTATAAAAACTAAAATAATATTTTTTGTTTCACATCCATGAAATTGGAAGAAGGTAAAACTCTGATAGCATCAAAGGTTGGCCATATGGAGCAGCAAATGCTCTTCTACACAGCTGAAAGAAGTGCTATTTGGAACAACTATTTTGAAGAATGATTCAGTAAAACCTAGTATGGTGGAAGATTCTCATTCCTTTCACCACAACAAACAAAAACAACAAACACCCTTAGTAAAACTCTTACCATACAAAACATACATCAGTTTTGTTTCTATACACTAACAATGAACTGTCTGAAAAAGAAATTATGAAAATGAGTCAATTCACAATAGCATTGAAAAAGAATACAATACTTAGGAATAAATTTAAAGAGGTAAAATATCTGCACTGAAAACAGTACATGTTGATGAAAGACATTGAAGAAGACACCAAAAAAGAAAAGGCATCCCATGTTCATGGATTGGAATAATTAGTATTGGTAAAATGTCCAGACTATACAAAGTGATCTACAGATTTAATGTGATTCCTATCAAAATTCAAGTGGCATTTTTCACAGAAATAGAAAAAAAATCCTAAAATTCCCATGGAAAAAGGACCCAAATCGCCAAAGCAATCTTGAGCAAAAGAACAAAGCTGGAGGCATCATACTTTCTGATTTCAAAATATATTACAAAGTTACAGTAATTAAAACTTACTTTCTTTGCTGAGACTATTTTTTCATTTGTTTCAAAGATATTTGTAATTTTCCACTGAAGCATTTGCATGATGGCTGTTCTATGATCCTTTTCAGGATTTTAACATCTATGTTATCCTGTCATTGGTGTCTTTTGATTGTGTTTTCATAATTAGTTTGAGATCTTTTTGATTCTTGGTATGAAAAGTGATTATTAAAACCTTAGGATATTATAAGGCTCAAAATTTTCTTTTGATCTTGTGCTGTACTGTAACTCCCCTGACGCTGCTCAAGTGGGTAGAGGCGGAATGTCACTTTGTAACTGCCATGTGAAGGTGAAGTCTAGGTTCTCCACTTGGCCTCCTATTATACATGGGTAGAGAGGGGCCCCTTGTTATTGCTTAACAGAGGTGGAGTCCAGCACTCCCACTAGGCCTCCACTGATACCACCCTGGTGGAGACAGAGGTACCTCATTACTGCCCCTAGGTGGCCTCCACAGATACTGCAAGAAGGTGGCATTGTTATTTGTCGTAAAATTTCTAACTTCACATTAGGCTTCCTCTGATACCATCCCAGTGAGGAACGCGTAGGAGTGCCTCATTACTGCCTGTTGGAGTAGGAATCCTGGCTCCCCACATATTCTCTCTTAACACCATGGAAGGGAAGATACTCATTGCTCATCAAGAAATAAAGTCCTGGCTCCCCACTTGGCCTCTGTCCTGAACCCAGCAAGAGTTTTGGGACCCTCCTTACCTCCTGGCCAGGGTGGATATCTAAGCACTTAATTCAATCTTTCTAGTAGGTGGAGGTGGGGCCTCAGTTTTTTCTGTGGTGTTTGACTAGGGTCAAGAGGTTATTATCTAAAAGTTGTCTGGCTTGTCCGGCTACCCTTTTCCAGGCCCTTTGGCTAGAACAAGCAGGCTTTCCTTGGGTCATTATTTGTCCGCTCCTATTGGCATTTGTGGTTGCCAGCTTCTCCAATATCAGGTCTGAGACACCTGAGGCAAAAGAAAATCCTGAGAAGTCACTACTATGTTGTTCCTTGTGTTGTGAAGTCCTTAGCCAGTCTGGCTTTTCTCTCTCTTGAGTCTTCTTTTCTTTTATATAAAGCATCCAAGCTTTCTAGTTGTACTTAGTGAAAGGAATAGGGAAAAGTATGTCTTACTTCATCTTCTCAAAGCAAAAGTCATCACAACTCTTTTTGAAGAAGTACCACATATGGCAGCCACCAAGATTCTCATTTAGCCCAGCCTTGCTGTGTTCTCATGAATTTGAGTTTCTTGGTGACAAAGGTTTCAAAATACCATAACAAGCCATATAATTTATTCATTCACTTATTCTTAAATTATGCCAGGTATCCCATTAGGCATGACTAGAAGCAATAAGCTAGTCAAATACCCTGTATTCTATGGGCTAACAGATATCAAGAAGAGACTGAAAAATATATAAACAAATATAACAATGTATCATAGGCACTTATATGCAAAAGAAATAATGGTGGCGCCAAAGAATGATCAATTCTAACCCTTGTGGTCAGAGATGTGTTATCTTTTAGGCACAGTAGACAGTGCCTAGGACCCACTTTTTAGCAGTCTACAAAAATGTTTTATTTTATTTTAAAATCAGAAGAAAAGTTAACTTTTAGGTAGACAAAAATGTTTTCAATATATAATATTAATATATTCAGTTTTATGCCAATTCAATTGTAAAATACAAATTTTAATTTTTTCATGAAGAAAGGTGTCCACAAAACTGCTTAGGGCCCATGAAATAATAATGCAGCCCTAGTTGGAATAAACATAAGTAAAGGTTTGTTAGAGGAGATAGCTTGTCTAAGTTGATTAAAATAGTGTTGGTGTTCCCCTATCAGACATGAGAGAGAGAAGCATTTCAGCTAAAAGGAACAGCAGGAGCAAAGGTTTCCAAAGATAAGAATCAGCCTAACATGTTTTAAAACTCTAAAAACAATGCCAGGTCTAATGTATGAAGTTCTAGGAAGAGCTATAGATGCTACCAAAATTTGTTTATGTACTTGAAGCTCATTATGCACAAACTCTCGTAATTAGAATACTTCAAGGATAAGAATTACAGAATTGGTTATTTCCACATCAGATAGGAACTTAAAGCAAAGAAAAAATCAATATTGACAGTCACTGATGTTTCTTGCTAATTAATTCAAATAAAGCTCTTCATTTCTAGGAGGTAAATATATTATGAATCAGACTTCATTGGAATATGAATTTCAGTAAAAGATTCAATGCTACCTCACGTGCTCCCATGGAATTTTCTACATAATTTCTTTCCTCTTGTTTATGAGAAATATAATCATTCCTAGGTAACTCGGGACAAATAAAAATAATTACCCATTACAAAGTATCTGTGTCTGTGGTACAGAAAATGGATGATGATGGAGCATGGTGATAGCAGGAGGGGAACAAACCTCTTTCATTTCTAAGCTGTGCAAAGTCAGAGCCACATGATCAGTCAGAGAATGTGCAGAGAATAAAAATGCCCTTCAAAAGGGTCTCCATGACCTACTGGGCCTTTCTGCCCAGCCTTGATGTCAGTTAAATTGCTAGTGGTCAAGTCACAGACCATGGTCATTTGTAATAGCCCAGCACTTTTGATTTTAAGGAAGCTACAAATTGCTCTTTGTATAGAGGATAAGTTGAATTAATCTTTTTAAAACGTCATGATGATTCCGTTCAAAATTAGAATGACTTAATAGAGTTCACTAAAATAAAAATCTAAAAAGCTAGGCAACAACAAGCCCACCAAAAATTGTACCCTTCGAAGTAAGCCCAAGAATTCTGCACTTTGAGCCTACATTGATTTTTGAGCAGTGTTTTTTCCTTTCTTTTCTTTTTCTGACAGGATCTCACTCTGTTGCCCAGGCTAGAATGCAGTGGTGCCATCACAGCTCACTTGCACCATTGACCTCCCTGGTACAACCAATCCTCCCACCTCAGCCTCTTGAGTAGCTGGAACTACAGCACATGCCACCATGTCCAGCTAATTTTTAAAGTTTTTGTGGAAACAGGGTCTCACTATGTTGCCTAGGCTGGAACATTTTTTCTCAACTCTGTCACTGTTGATCTTGCAGGCAAGATCTTTGTTGTGAGGGGCTCTACTGAACATTGCTGGATGTTTAGTAATATTGCCGGCTTCTATCCTCAAAATGCCAATAGTAGCAATTCTCCCTTTGCCACCCAAGGGTGAAAACTAAAAATTTCTACAGACTTTGCCATATGTCCTCTTCAAGGGGAGAGAGAAAAAAGGCATGGAGACTTCCCCTGATGGAGAACTACTAATTTAGGAGAATTAAGAGCAGAGTCCCTAGGATGAGAATTTTTGAGCTGGTGAAGAAACTTCTTTAGCTGGGTTAAAAGTCACAGTTTTAGCCAAGGGGACAACCATATTCCTGCCTAATACCTAACAGAGGGAAATCTGAAAATTACCTCAGGGCCTTGTTGTACTGGGGGAAACAAAGGGCTTCCCAAGCCCAGAGTCTACGGGTGATACTAAAACACTCTGAACTCCAGAAGAAAGCAGGGCTGTTTTATCCGTTAGGTACTATAGGGCCAATTGCTAGAGCCTGTGAGCTATTTAAGAGCCCATGAAAATACATAAGAAATTGTTTAAAGGCATCAAAAATATGCAAAACCAAATGAAAAATATGTAAAAATACGCCTGAAAAAGTAAAACTCTAGCAGCTTCATTAACTATTAAACTTAGTCTTCACAACAATTTCATTAATATAAAAATGATTTGTAAGTAGGCTACTGTAAATATAAAAATAATCCTTTGCAGAGAAACTATAAATAACTGTATATTAAATTAGTGACTCAGGAAAAGGATTTTAAAAGAATAGTTAAAATCTTTTCATTTCACTTTGCCATGAAATAAAAGTTTACTCTTAGATGTAGATTATTCTTTATGGGTTTGTTATCCTAGGGATTGGGGCCTCAAAAAGTGAGCACTGAAGACAATCTTAACAACCTTAAAATAGCTCTGGAGGGATTTTGCTTCCAGCCAAGATAAAGTAAGTAGGATTTCATGCCTGAAACAACTGAGAAATACAGACAAAAATAAATGAGACAATGGTATTCAAGACATTGGACATGAGGCAATAAAGTGCAATGATCCTTGAAAGATGGGAACAAGCAGAGGTGAGCCCCATGATTGCCCTAGCTTATAGTCTGGAGAGTATCTAGGCAATGATACAACAAGGGGAATCCAGGCAAGTGGCCAGCGATCACCCTGAGTTGGGTAGATAGAGCTGGGAATGTGGGGAGGCCATGGCATCTCAAGTTCACAAGGCAGAGTTCCAGAGAGGAAAGTGCTGCAGAGAGAGAGCACTTGGGGGTTTGCAGAGGGACCTTGAGTCTTCAGCAGAGTACTGATGAGCACATGCATGGGTGGAAACTACCCAAGGCCCAGAGAGAAACCGTCTAAGAGAATTAGAGTAAGTAATCATAGGGGTTTACACAGGGCCAAGAATACTTTCTCTTCCCACCAACCAAGGTAGAAAACCTCCTAACTAACTCACCAGATATCAGGTGTACTTAGGTTTTGACTGAATAATAATTGAGCATGAAAACATTTCTCATCCAGGGACCATAAAGTGACACTGAAAAGTACTCCTTGCAGCATATTTTGTTTTTTTTTTTCCCCTTTAGTGTGTCTGTTACCAAATACTGAATATTCATTGAGATATCTTTTATTTTGCAAAAGACATCTTAACATGTTATAGCCAGTCTGCACTACTGAGTGGTACGCTTTTTCCCTGGTGTTGGGGCCTCCTGGAAGCAAATATGTGTGACAGCACGACCCATGGCCCAGGTCAAGTTGAAGGCATCTCTAATATGAGTTCCACAACATTTAACATGGTGAAACTCCCTAGAAGTTCCTCAAAATTAGGTTGGTTCACAATAAAATGAGATTATGGCTAGAATTAAGGGAGAGTGGTATATTTCTATATGATGCCAAATCTTAATTGGAGGTAAGGCAGTTGGAGTAGAAAAGGAAAAATTAAAAGATAAGAATGAGACGTGAGAGTTACATTTCATCATATTCCCCAACACTCAGAGCAAGCCATGATCCCAAAAGGGAGCTCATCTTTGACACAGGTTAAATAGGCATTCGTTTCCTCAGTGATACTGAGCTACCCCTCCCTATTCTGAATCATTTCTGTTCAGTACATGATCCTCAACTAAGATCAAATTTAATTTTTAAATTAATTTGCATTTAATTTCTCAAAGCTAGAAAAATCTATTTTTTAAAGAACAAAGACATTAAGGGATAGGAACACATCCAGTGAGATTGCAGGTGAGTGCAAAATAGATTTCACCAATAGATGATGTGGGATTTAGGAATACACTCTTTGAGCTTTCAAGAGAAATACTTTGTTCACTTTTAGAGAGTTGCAAAGCTTATAAAGGACAATGTGAAGACCCAGACACAACAAGAGGGTGGCATTGGCACTGCCCTTCTCTACAGTCTCTTCGCTCCAGTTTCTTTCTGCTAGATCCACAATGCAGCCCTTGAGCTATCCCCGACTAAAGCAGTGAGATACAAAGAATGGAAGACCTACAATCCAGGGAAATCTGAAATTTAGTCAAATCTTTGCAAACTACCCAGACTCAGGAACACTGTGAGGATACCTGGGCCCCCACATTTTTCTTAAGTGACTTTTTAGACCCAGGGGTAATTCCAGGTTTCCTCAGGGCTCCCACAGTACATTGTCCTTGTTCATAAGACTAGTCTTTCAGCTTTGTTCCTATGGCTTAAATCTGGTGCATCACAAATACCTCATTCTCCCTCTAATCCTGAATCCCTGCCTGGACCTCAAGTAAGTGACCAGGACTCAGCTGCCCTATTTACCTTTATGAATCCTTTGAACTTATATGTCTGGTTCACAATTAAGTTCTGTGCCTGAATGGAAAGTCTGCAAGACAGTCATTGCTGTCTTGGGGTTGGGGACCCCTGGCCTAGAACACTCTTACCCCTCTATATTTGCCTAGGAAAATGTCTGCCTGTTTTTCAGATCTGCAATTAAATGCCATTTTCTTTTCTTTTTTTTAAGAGACAGGATCTTGTTCTGTCACCCAGGCTGGAGTGCAGTGATGCAATCATAGCTTACCATACTCTTGACCTTCCTGGTTCAAGTCATCCTCCTACCTCAGCCTCCCCAGTAGCTGGGATTACAGGCACATGCCACCATGCCTAGCTATCCTTTTTAAAATGTTTTTGTAAAGATAGAGTCTCACTACATTGCCCAGGCTGATCTTAAACCCCTGGACTCAAGTGATCCTCCCACTTTGGCCTCCCAAAGTGCTGAGATTACAGGCATGGGCCACTGTGTCTGGCCTAAATGCCATTTTCAGTGGGAAAGTTTTGCCACCTTCTCAGACTACTTCAAGTCTATTACACACTTTCATCATACTTCTTACTAGTATGTGATATGGTTTAGCTGTGTCCCCACTCAGATCTCATCTTGAATTATAGCTCCCACAATCTCACGTGTCATGGGAGGGACCCAGTGGGAGGTAATTGAATCATTGGGGGTTCTTTCTCATGAGATCTGATGGTTTTATAAAGAGGAGTTCCCCTGAACAAGTTCTCTCTTGCCTGCTGCCATGTAAGATGTGTCTTGCTTCCTCTTTAATTTCTGCCATGATTGTGAGGCCTCCCCAGCCATGTGGAACTGTGACTCCATTAAACCTCTTTCCTTTACAAATTACCCATCTTGGTTATATCTTTATTAGCAGTGTGAGAACAGATTAATATAGTATGTATTGTGTAATTGTTTCATATCTTTATTTTTCTGGACTGTCAACTTTGCTCCATGAGCCAGGACCATGTTTGTCTTGGTCAGCACAGTAACCTTAGCACTTCATACAGTGCTTGGCACATAGTAGGTACACAGTAATTGTTAATATAAACAACGTCCCTCAGCTACTCAGCTCCATCATTTGATTCTACATTGGCCCTAGATCAGTTTTTTTAAGCTCCTGATTGACTCTTAGGTCTTGGGTCAATCCTCAGCAGGTCTTGAAAGAACTCAACAATATAGTCTTAATCTAAGTCTCAGGTCAATCATCTCTGCCTACTGCAACTAGATAGAACTCACTCTACCTTGGACCCAAAGAATAGTGAAAAATAAAGTATTTGGAAGTCCTAGACATAAAAATGTAAACCAGAACACATTTTCAAATATAAAATTGAAAAGAGAGATGATTCTATTGAATTCTACCTCTGGGACTTCATTATTATGAAAAAAATCACTTTAGATTATTTTTTAAAAAGATATATACCTTGATAACATTTGATAACATGTAACAAAAAGCAATTTTTTTTTAAAAGTCTGAGTTCATCTAAAAAAGTAAGCCATCTCTGTTAGAGACTAGTCTTTTTAAGACAACAATAAGAACAAGAATGATGCCAACCACAAAACTCAGCAGGTGACCTGAAGCAGTTGAGAAGAAAGCAGAAAGCATGATAATGTCAAAATAAACTAATGGGAAGGGAGTATCCTGAATTATCTTACGGTCCACCACGAGGAGAACTGCTAAGTAGGAAAACACCATCCCCAGACTAGAAGGGCATTGCCCTAATTCCTTTTTAAAATTGTTCTTATTGTTTACCTCTATTTTTCCACTAGAAAAAAAAATGGCCACAAAAAGTAGAAGGGCACAAAGAGATTTGCTTAATTAGAAAGTAGTGAGTTAATGTTTCCTTCAATAAAATCAAAGGCTGAAAGAAAATGAGTTTTGGATGCTCAGTTAAACTGAGACCTTAAAGCAGTGGAGAAAGAACTGAAGCACACAGACACACAGACACACACACCCCAAAAGGGATGAGACATTGGGAAAGTCCCCAGCAAAAGTACTTGGTTTAAAGTCTGGAGAGAAAATAGGCCAAGAATATGTTGTCATTGCTCTCAACTTAAAAGTAATGAATATGATTCTTAAGCATACTTACGTATTTGTATTCTCTTCTTGCTTTGGTTATAAAATTTCAAATATAAAAAAGTAACTGAAGTTATCAACAACAAAATTAATAATGAAACCCCTATTACATTGCCATTATGATTCAGGTTGTAGGACTGACTACATAAAAGGTCAAGGATTGTTTTGTTGTGGTCTCTTACACTCTTTCAATAAAAAATATACATAAGGCTTAAGATGAACTTGCATTATGTTGAAGTCTATTGTAAAATGGGCCATATTTTAGAAAGCCTTTAGTGTTCCTCATGTCATAATGCCTTTAACTAAATTATTTTGAAGACGAGCATTGAGAAAAAGGTTCCACTTTATCCATTCACCCACCCATCCAATAATGTGTTAAGTACCTTCTGGGTTCAAGGCCTTATCTTAGGCTTTGAGTCATGCAAATGTGAGTCAAGCAGTCATTGACAGCAGGTAGCTTACAACCTAGAAAGAGAGTATATGCAGATGGAAATGCAGAATCTATTTTAAAAAATAACATAGAGAATGAGAATTCATAGGAAGTAGAATTTTTCCATGGATGATAGTTGAGCTAGGTCTGTGAGGACAGGTTAGTTATGAAGAGGCCCAGGAGGAAGGAGAAGGATTTCTAGTCATAAGGAATGGAATGAGCAAAGTATGGAACAGAACATCCCATATCATATCTATGGTATGAAATTAGGGTTAGGCAAGTTTG